>NC_000024.10:10316944-10544039 GCF_000001405.40 Homo sapiens
AACATTCCGAGAAACTTCTCTGTGATGTGTGCACTCATCTCACGGAGTTGAACCTTTCTTTGATTGACAAGTTTTGAAAGACTATGTTTCTATAATGTGCAAGTGGATATTTGGAGTGCTTTGAGGCATATGGTGGAAAAGGAAATATATTCACATAAAACTATACAGAAGCGTTCCCAGAAACTTATTTGTGATGTGCTTATTCAACTCGCAGAGTTGACCCTATCTTTTGATACAGCAGTTTTGAAACTCTCTTTTTGTAGAATCTGCAAGTGGATATTTGCAGCGCTTTGAGGCCTGCGGTGGAAAAGGAAATATCTTCACATAAAAACTACACAGAAGCATTCTCAGTAACTTCTTTGTAATGTGTGCATTCACCTCACAGACTTGAAACTTCCTCTTGATTGAGCAGCTTGGAAACACACTTTTAGTGAAATCTGCAAGTGGATATTTGGAGCACCTTGAGGCCTGTTGTGGAAAAGGAAATATCTTCACATAAAAACTACACAGAAAGCATTCCAATAAACTTGTTTGTGATATGTACCTTCAACTGACAGATTTGAACCTTTCTTTTGATTAAATAGTTTTGAAAATCTCTTTTTGTAGAATCTGCAAGTGGATATTTGGAGTGCTTTGAGGCCTATGGTGGAAAAGGAAATATCTTTACATAAAAACTACACAGAAGCATTCTGAGAAACTACTTTGTGATGTGTGCATTCATATCACATAGTTGAACCTATCTTTTGATAGAGCACTTTTGAAACTCTCTTTTTGTAGAATCTGCAAGTGGATATTTGGAGCCCTTTGCAGCCTATGGTGGAAAAGGAAACATCTTCACATAAAAACTACACAGAAGCATTCTCAGAAACTACTTTGTGATGTGTGCGTTCAGCTCACAGACTTGAAACTTCCTCTTGATTGAGCAGTTTGGAAACACTCTTTAGTAAAATCTGCAAGTGGATATTCGGAGCACTTTGAGGCCTGTTGTGGAGAAGGAAATATCTTCACATAAAAACTACACAGACGCATTCCGAGAAACTTGTTTGTGATATGTGCATTCAACTGACAGAGTTGAACCTTTCTTTTGATTGACTAGTTTTGAAAATCTCTTTTTGTAGAATCTGCAAGTGGATATTTGGAGTGCTTTGAGGCCTATGGTGGAAAAGGAAATATCTTCATATGAAAACTACACAGAAGCATTCTGAGAAAATTCTTTGTGATGTGTGCATTCAAACCACAGACTTGAACTGATCTTTTGATAGAGCAGTTTTTAAAGTGTCTTTCTGTAGAATCTGCAAGTGGTTACTTGGAGACCTTTGTGGAAGATGGTGGAAAAGGAAATGTCTTCCCGTAAAAACTACACAGATGCATTCTGAGAAACTTCTTTGTGATGTGTGCATTCATCTCACAGAGTTCAACCTATCTTTTCGTAGAGCAGTTTTGAAACTCTCTTTTCCTAGAATCTGTAAGTTGATATTTGGAGCCCTTTGCGGCCTATTGTGGAAAAGGAAATAACTTCACATGAAAACTACACAGAAGCTGAGAAACTTCTTTGTGATGTGTGCATTAATTTCCCAGAGTCGAACCTTTCTTTTGATTGAGCAGTTTTGAAACACTCTTTTTGTAGAATCTGCAAGTGGACATTTGAAGCACTTTGAGGCCTATTGTTGAAAAGGAAACATCTTCATATAAAAACAACAAGGGAAAGCATTCTGAGAAACCATTTTGTGCTGTGTGCATTCACCTCACAGAGTTCAACTTTATTTGATACAGCAGTTTTGAAACACTCTTCTTGTAGAATCTGCAAGTGGAAATTGGGAAATATTTAGGCATATGGTGGAAAAGGAAACATCCGCACATAAAAACTACACAGACACATTCTGTGAAACTTCTTTGTGCTGTGTGCATTCAAACCACAGAGTTGAACCTATCTTTTGAATGAGCAGTTTTGAAACTCTCTTTTCATAGTATCTGCAAGTGGATATTTGGAGCCTTTTGTGGCCTACGGTGGGAAAGGAAATATCTTCATATAAAAACTACACAGAAGCATTCTGAGAAACTTCTCAGTGATGTGAGCATTCTTCTCACAGAGTTGAACCTTTCTTTTGATTGAGCAGTTTTGAAACACTGTTTTTTTAGAATCTGCAAGTGAATATTTGGAGCCTTTTGGGGCTTATTGTGGAAAAGGAAATATCTTCACATAAAAACTACACAGAAGCATTCTGAGACACTTCTTTGTGGTATGTGCATTCATCTCACAGAGGTGAAACTTTCTTTTGATGGAGCAGTTTTGGAAAACTCTTTTTGTAGAATCTGCAAGTGGATATTTGGAGCACTTTGAGGCCCATTGTGGAAAAGGAAATATCTTCACATAAAAACTACACAGAAATAATTCCGAGAAACATCTTTTTGTTGTGCGCATTCAACTCACAGAGTTGAACTATCTTTTGATTGTGCAGTTTTGAAACACTCTTTTTGTAGAATGTGAAAGTGGATATTTTGAGCGCTTTGAGGCCTATTGTGGAAAAAGAAATATCTTCAATTAAAAACTACACAGAAGCATTCTGAGAAACTTCTTTGTGATGTGTGGATTCATCTCACAGAGTTAAATCTTTCTTTTGATTGAGCAGTTTGCAAACACTCTTTTTGTGGGATCTCCAGGAGGATATTTGGAGTGCTTTGAGGCCTATGTTGGAAAAGGAAGTATCTTCCCTTAAAAGCTATGCAGAAGCATTCTGAGAAACTTCCTTCTGATGTGTGCATTCATCTCACCTAGTTGAACCTTTCTTTTGGTTGTGCACTTTTGAAACACTCTTTTTGTGGAATCTGCAAGTGGATATCTGGATCACTTTGACGTCTATTGTGGAAAAGGAAATATCTTCACATAAAAACTACACAGAAGAATTCCGACATAGTTCTTTGTGATGTGTGCATTCAACTCACATAGTTGAAACCATCTCTTGATCGAGTAGTTTTGAACCTCTCTTGTTGTAGAATCTGAAAGTGGATATTTGTGTCCCCTGGCGGTCTATGGTGGAAAAGAAATATCTTCACAAAAATACTACACAGAAGCATTCTGAGAAACTTCTTTGTGATGTGTCCATTCATCTCACAGAGTTGAACCTTTCTTTTGATTGAGCAGTTTTGAAATACTCCTTTTGTAGAATCTGCAAGTGGATATTTTGAGTGCTTTGAGAACTATTGTGGAAAAGGAATTATCTTCTCATAAAACCTACACTGAAGGATTCTGAGAAATTTCTTGTGATGTGTGCATTCATCTCACAGAGTTGAACATTTCCTATGATTGAGCAGTTTGGAAATATTCTTTTCATAGAATCTGGAAGTGGATACTTGGAGCCCTTTGAGGCCTATTGTGGAAAAGGAAATATCTTCACATAAAAACTACAGAGAAGCATTCTGAGAAACTTCTTTGTGATGTGTGCATTCATCAAACAGAATTGAACATTTCTTTTTTTGTGCAGTTTTGAAACAATCTTCTTGTAGTATCTGCAAGTGGATATTTGGAGCGTTTTAAGACCTAAGGTGGGAAAGGAAATATCTTCACATAAAAATTACACAGAGAGATTCTGAGAAACTTCTTTGTGATGTGTGCATTCATCTCATATATTTGAACCTTTCTTTTCATTGTGCAGTTTCCAAGCAATCTTTTTCTAGAATATGTAAGTGGATATTTGGAGCACTTTGTGGACTATGGAGGGAAAAGAAATGTCTTCACATAAAAACTACACAGAAGCATTGGGAGAAAATTCTTGTGATATTTGTGTTCAACCCACAAAGTTGAACATATTGTTTGATAGAGCAGTTGTGAAACTCTCTTTTTGTAGAATCTGCAAGTGGGTATTTGGAGCCCTTTGTGGCCCATGGTAGAAAAGGAACTATCTTCACAGAAAAACTACCCAGAAGCATTTTGAGAAACTCCTTTGTGATTTGTGCACTCATCTCACGGTGTTGAAACTTTATTTTTATTGAGCAATTTTGAACATTCCTTTTTATAGA
This sequence comes from Homo sapiens, assembly GCF_000001405.40. Taxonomy (NCBI): domain Eukaryota; kingdom Metazoa; phylum Chordata; class Mammalia; order Primates; family Hominidae; genus Homo; species Homo sapiens. The sequence goes on from NC_000024.10 coordinate 10,320,962, forward strand.
ATCTACAAGTGGATATTTGGAGTGGTTTGAGACCTATGGTAGAAAAAGAACTATCTTCACCGAAAAACCACACAGAAGCATTTTGAGAAGCTTCTTTTTGATGTATGCATTCAACTCACAGAGACGAACTGATCTTTTGATAGAGCAGTTTTGAAACTCACTTTTGTAGAATCTGCAGGTGGATATTTGGAGTACATTGCGGCCTATGGTGAAAAAGGAACTATCTTCGCATGAGAACCAGGCAGAAACATTCTGAGAAACTAGTTTGTGATGTGTGCATTCATCTCACAGAGTTGAAATCATTTTTTGATTTGAGTAGTTTGGAAACACTCTTTTTGTGGAATCTCTAAGGGCATATTTGAAGCGTTTTGCACGCTGTTGTGGAAAAGGAAATATCTTCACATAAAAACTACACAGAAGCATTCTGAGAAACTACTTTGTGATGTGGGCATTCATGTCACGGTTTTGAACCTTCCATTTGATTGAGCAGTTTTGAAATACTCGTTTGGTAGAATGTACAAGTGAATATTTGGAGCACTTTGAGGCCTATGATAGAAACGGAAATATGTTTACATAAAAACTACACAGAAGCATGCTGAGAAACCTCTTTGTGATGTGTGTATTCACCTCCGGGAGTTCAACCTATCATTTGACAGAGCGGTTTTGAAACTCTTTTTGTAGAATCTCCAAGTGGATATTTGGAGCCCTTTGCATTCTACTGTGAAAAGGAAATATCTTCACATCAAAACTACACAGACGCATTCTGAGAAACTTCTTTGTGATGTTTGCTTTCAACTCACAGAATTGAACCTTTTGTTTGAGTAGTTTTGAAACTCTCTTTTTGTAGAATCTAGAAGTGGATATTTAGAACGCTTGGAGGCCTATGGTGCAAAAACGAATAACTTCACACAAAAAATACACAGAAGCATTCTGAGAAACTTCTTTACGATGTCTGCATTCACCTCACAGATTTGAATGTCTCTTTTGATTGAGCAGTTTGGAAGCACTCTTTCGGTAGAATCTGCAAGTGGATATGGAGAGAGCTTTGAGGCCTGTTGTGGAAAACTAAATGTCTTCATATAAAAGCTACACAGAAGCATTCTGAGAAACTCTTTTGTTATGTGTGCATTCATCTCACAGAGTTGAACCTTTCTTTTGATTCGGCAGTTTTGAAACACGGTTTTTGTAGAATCTTCAAGTGGATATTTGGAGCACTTTTCTGCCTATTGTGTAAAAGGAAATATCTTTACGTAAGAACTACACAGAAGCATTCTGAGAAACTTCTTTGTGATGTTCTTAACTCACAGCGTTAAACTTACCTTTGGTAGAGCAGTTTTGAAACTCTCTTTTTGTGGAAAATGTAAGTGGGTATTTAGAGCCATTTGTGGCCTATGGTGGAAAGGAAAATATCTTCACATAAAAACTACACAGAAGCATTCTGAGAAACTACCTTTTGATGTGTGTATTTGTCTCAGACTGGAACCTTCCTTTTGATTGAGCAGTTCTGAAACACTCTTTTTGTAGAATCTGGAAGTGCATATTTGGAGTGCTTTGAGGCCTATGGTGGAAAAAGAAATATCTTCATTTAAAAACTACACAGAAGCATTCTGAGAAACTTCTTTGTGATGTGTGTATTCATACCACAGAGTCGAAACTATCGTTTGAGAGAGCATTTCGAAACTTTCTTTTTGTAGGATCTGCAAGTGGATATTTGGAGGGCTTTCAGGCCTATGGTGGAAAAGGAAATATCTTCACATAAACACTACTCAGAAGCATTCTGAGAAACTTCTTCACGATGGTTGCACTAAACTCTCAGAGTTGAACTTATCTTTTGATAGAGCAGTTTTGAAACTCTGTGTTACTAGAATCTGCATGTGGTTATTTGGAGTCCTTTGTGGCCGATGGTGGAAAAGGAAATATCTTCCCCTAAAAAGTACACAGAAGCATTCTGAGAAACTTTTTTGACATGTGTGCACTAATCTCACAGAGTTTAATCTATCATTTGATTGAGCAGTTTTAAAAAACTTTTTTTGTGGAATCTGCAATTGGATATTTGGAACGCTTTGAGGCCTATTGTGGAAAAGGCAATATCTTCACATAAAAACTACACAGAAACATTCCGAGAAACTTCTCTGTGATGTGTGCACTCATCTCACGGAGTTGAACCTTTCTTTGATTGACAAGTTTTGAAAGACTATGTTTCTATAATGTGCAAGTGGATATTTGGAGTGCTTTGAGGCATATGGTGGAAAAGGAAATATATTCACATAAAACTATACAGAAGCGTTCCCAGAAACTTATTTGTGATGTGTTTATTCAACTCGCAGAGTTGACCCTATCTTTTGATACAGCAGTTTTGAAACTCTCTTTTTGTAGAATCTGCAAGTGGATATTTGCAGCGCTTTGAGGCCTGCGGTGGAAAAGGAAATATCTTCACATAAAAACTACACAGAAGCATTCTCAGTAACTTCTTTGTAATGTGTGCATTCACCTCACAGACTTGAAACTTCCTCTTGATTGAGCAGCTTGGAAACACACTTTTAGTGAAATCTGCAAGTGGATATTTGGAGCACCTTGAGGCCTGTTGTGGAAAAGGAAATATCTTCACATAAAAACTACACAGAAGCATTCCAATAAACTTGTTTGTGATATGTACCTTCAACTGACAGATTTGAACCTTTCTTTTGATTAAATAGTTTTGAAAATCTCTTTTTGTAGAATCTGCAAGTGGATATTTGGAGTGCTTTGAGGCCTATGGTGGAAAAGGAAATATCTTTACATAAAAACTACACAGAAGCATTCTGAGAAACTACTTTGTGATGTGTGCATTCATATCACATAGTTGAACCTATCTTTTGATAGAGCACTTTTGAAACTCTCTTTTTGTAGAATCTGCAAGTGGATATTTGGAGCCCTTTGCAGCCTATGGTGGAAAAGGAAACATCTTCACATAAAAACTACACAGAAGCATTCTCAGAAACTACTTTGTGATGTGTGCGTTCAGCTCACAGACTTGAAACTTCCTCTTGATTGAGCAGTTTGGAAACACTCTTTAGTAAAATCTGCAAGTGGATATTCGGAGCACTTTGAGGCCTGTTGTGGAGAAGGAAATATCTTCACATAAAAACTACACAGACGCATTCCGAGAAACTTGTTTGTGATATGTGCATTCAACTGACAGAGTTGAACCTTTCTTTTGATTGACTAGTTTTGAAAATCTCTTTTTGTAGAATCTGCAAGTGGATATTTGGAGTGCTTTGAGGCCTATGGTGGAAAAGGAAATATCTTCATATGAAAACTACACAGAAGCATTCTGAGAAAATTCTTTGTGATGTGTGCATTCAAACCACAGACTTGAACTGATCTTTTGATAGAGCAGTTTTTAAAGTGTCTTTCTGTAGAATCTGCAAGTGGTTACTTGGAGACCTTTGTGGAAGATGGTGGAAAAGGAAATGTCTTCCCGTAAAAACTACACAGATGCATTCTGAGAAACTTCTTTGTGATGTGTGCATTCATCTCACAGAGTTCAACCTATCTTTTCGTAGAGCAGTTTTGAAACTCTCTTTTCCTAGAATCTGTAAGTTGATATTTGGAGCCCTTTGCGGCCTATTGTGGAAAAGGAAATAACTTCACATGAAAACTACACAGAAGCTGAGAAACTTCTTTGTGATGTGTGCATTAATTTCCCAGAGTCGAACCTTTCTTTTGATTGAGCAGTTTTGAAACACTCTTTTTGTAGAATCTGCAAGTGGACATTTGAAGCACTTTGAGGCCTATTGTTGAAAAGGAAACATCTTCATATAAAAACAACAAGGGAAAGCATTCTGAGAAACCATTTTGTGCTGTGTGCATTCACCTCACAGAGTTCAACTTTATTTGATACAGCAGTTTTGAAACACTCTTCTTGTAGAATCTGCAAGTGGAAATTGGGAAATATTTAGGCATATGGTGGAAAAGGAAACATCCGCACATAAAAACTACACAGACACATTCTGTGAAACTTCTTTGTGCTGTGTGCATTCAAACCACAGAGTTGAACCTATCTTTTGAATGAGCAGTTTTGAAACTCTCTTTTCATAGTATCTGCAAGTGGATATTTGGAGCCTTTTGTGGCCTACGGTGGGAAAGGAAATATCTTCATATAAAAACTACACAGAAGCATTCTGAGAAACTTCTCAGTGATGTGAGCATTCTTCTCACAGAGTTGAACCTTTCTTTTGATTGAGCAGTTTTGAAACACTGTTTTTTTAGAATCTGCAAGTGAATATTTGGAGCCTTTTGGGGCTTATTGTGGAAAAGGAAATATCTTCACATAAAAACTACACAGAAGCATTCTGAGACACTTCTTTGTGGTATGTGCATTCATCTCACAGAGGTGAAACTTTCTTTTGATGGAGCAGTTTTGGAAAACTCTTTTTGTAGAATCTGCAAGTGGATATTTGGAGCACTTTGAGGCCCATTGTGGAAAAGGAAATATCTTCACATAAAAACTACACAGAAATAATTCCGAGAAACATCTTTTTGTTGTGCGCATTCAACTCACAGAGTTGAACTATCTTTTGATTGTGCAGTTTTGAAACACTCTTTTTGTAGAATGTGAAAGTGGATATTTTGAGCGCTTTGAGGCCTATTGTGGAAAAAGAAATATCTTCAATTAAAAACTACACAGAAGCATTCTGAGAAACTTCTTTGTGATGTGTGGATTCATCTCACAGAGTTAAATCTTTCTTTTGATTGAGCAGTTTGCAAACACTCTTTTTGTGGGATCTCCAGGAGGATATTTGGAGTGCTTTGAGGCCTATGTTGGAAAAGGAAGTATCTTCCCTTAAAAGCTATGCAGAAGCATTCTGAGAAACTTCCTTCTGATGTGTGCATTCATCTCACCTAGTTGAACCTTTCTTTTGGTTGTGCACTTTTGAAACACTCTTTTTGTGGAATCTGCAAGTGGATATCTGGATCACTTTGACGTCTATTGTGGAAAAGGAAATATCTTCACATAAAAACTACACAGAAGAATTCCGACATAGTTCTTTGTGATGTGTGCATTCAACTCACATAGTTGAAACCATCTCTTGATCGAGTAGTTTTGAACCTCTCTTGTTGTAGAATCTGAAAGTGGATATTTGTGTCCCCTGGCGGTCTATGGTGGAAAAGAAATATCTTCACAAAAATACTACACAGAAGCATTCTGAGAAACTTCTTTGTGATGTGTCCATTCATCTCACAGAGTTGAACCTTTCTTTTGATTGAGCAGTTTTGAAATACTCCTTTTGTAGAATCTGCAAGTGGATATTTTGAGTGCTTTGAGAACTATTGTGGAAAAGGAATTATCTTCTCATAAAACCTACACTGAAGGATTCTGAGAAATTTCTTGTGATGTGTGCATTCATCTCACAGAGTTGAACATTTCCTATGATTGAGCAGTTTGGAAATATTCTTTTCATAGAATCTGGAAGTGGATATTTGGAGCCCTTTGAGGCCTATTGTGGAAAAGGAAATATCTTCACATAAAAACTACAGAGAAGCATTCTGAGAAACTTCTTTGTGATGTGTGCATTCATCAAACAGAATTGAACATTTCTTTTTTTGTGCAGTTTTGAAACAATCTTCTTGTAGTATCTGCAAGTGGATATTTGGAGCGTTTTAAGACCTAAGGTGGGAAAGGAAATATCTTCACATAAAAATTACACAGAGAGATTCTGAGAAACTTCTTTGTGATGTGTGCATTCATCTCATATATTTGAACCTTTCTTTTCATTGTGCAGTTTCCAAGCAATCTTTTTCTAGAATATGTAAGTGGATATTTGGAGCACTTTGTGGACTATGGAGGGAAAAGAAATGTCTTCACATAAAAACTACACAGAAGCATTGGGAGAAAATTCTTGTGATATTTGTGTTCAACCCACAAAGTTGAACATATTGTTTGATAGAGCAGTTGTGAAACTCTCTTTTTGTAGAATCTGCAAGTGGGTATTTGGAGCCCTTTGTGGCCCATGGTAGAAAAGGAACTATCTTCACAGAAAAACTACCCAGAAGCATTTTGAGAAACTTCTTTGTGATTTGTGCACTCATCTCACGGTGTTGAAACTTTATTTTTATTGAGCAATTTTGAACATTCCTTTTTATAGAATCTACAAGTGGATATTTGGAGTGGTTTGAGACCTATGGTAGAAAAAGAACTATCTTCACCGAAAAACCACACAGAAGCATTTTGAGAAGCTTCTTTTTGATGTATGCATTCAACTCACAGAGACGAACTGATCTTTTGATAGAGCAGTTTTGAAACTCACTTTTGTAGAATCTGCAGGTGGATATTTGGAGTACATTGCGGCCTATGGTGAAAAAGGAACTATCTTCGCATGAGAACCAGGCAGAAACATTCTGAGAAACTAGTTTGTGATGTGTGCATTCATCTCACAGAGTTGAAATCATTTTTTGATTTGAGTAGTTTGGAAACACTCTTTTTGTGGAATCTCTAAGGGCATATTTGAAGCGTTTTGCACGCTGTTGTGGAAAAGGAAATATCTTCACATAAAAACTACACAGAAGCATTCTGAGAAACTACTTTGTGATGTGGGCATTCATGTCACGGTTTTGAACCTTCCATTTGATTGAGCAGTTTTGAAATACTCGTTTGGTAGAATGTACAAGTGAATATTTGGAGCACTTGAGGCCTATGATAGAAACGGAAATATGTTTACATAAAAACTACACAGAAGCATGCTGAGAAACCTCTTTGTGATGTGTGTATTCACCTCCGGGAGTTCAACCTATCATTTGACAGAGCGGTTTTGAAACTCTTTTTGTAGAATCTCCAAGTGGATATTTGGAGCCCTTTGCATTCTACTGTGAAAAGGAAATATCTTCACATCAAAACTACACAGACGCATTCTGAGAAACTTCTTTGTGATGTTTGCTTTCAACTCACAGAATTGAACCTTTTGTTTGAGTAGTTTTGAAACTCTCTTTTTGTAGAATCTAGAAGTGGATATTTAGAACGCTTGGAGGCCTATGGTGCAAAAACGAATAACTTCACACAAAAAATACACAGAAGCATTCTGAGAAACTTCTTTACGATGTCTGCATTCACCTCACAGATTTGAATGTCTCTTTTGATTGAGCAGTTTGGAAGCACTCTTTCGGTAGAATCTGCAAGTGGATATGGAGAGAGCTTTGAGGCCTGTTGTGGAAAACTAAATGTCTTCATATAAAAGCTACACAGAAGCATTCTGAGAAACTCCTTTGTTATGTGTGCATTCATCTCACAGAGTTGAACCTTTCTTTTGATTCGGCAGTTTTGAAACACGGTTTCTGTAGAATCTTCAAGTGGATATTTGGAGCACTTTTCTGCCTATTGTGTAAAAGGAAATATCTTTACGTAAGAACTACACAGAAGCATTCTGAGAAACTTCTTTGTGATGTTCTTAACTCACAGCGTTAAACTTACCTTTGGTAGAGCAGTTTTGAAACTCTCTTTTTGTGGAAAATGTAAGTGGGTATTTAGAGCCATTTGTGGCCTATGGTGGAAAGGAAAATATCTTCACATAAAAACTACACAGAAGCATTCTGAGAAACTACCTTTTGATGTGTGTATTTGTCTCAGACTGGAACCTTCCTTTTGATTGAGCAGTTCTGAAACACTCTTTTTGTAGAATCTGGAAGTGCATATTTGGAGTGCTTTGAGGCCTATGGTGGAAAAAGAAATATCTTCATTTAAAAACTACACAGAAGCATTCTGAGAAACTTCTTTGTGATGTGTGTATTCATACCACAGAGTCGAAACTATCGTTTGAGAGAGCATTTCGAAACTTTCTTTTTGTAGGATCTGCAAGTGGATATTTGGAGGGCTTTCAGGCCTATGGTGGAAAAGGAAATATCTTCACATAAACACTACTCAGAAGCATTCTGAGAAACTTCTTCACGATGGTTGCACTAAACTCTCAGAGTTGAACTTATCTTTTGATAGAGCAGTTTTGAAACTCTGTGTTACTAGAATCTGCATGTGGTTATTTGGAGTCCTTTGTGGCCGATGGTGGAAAAGGAAATATCTTCCCCTAAAAAGTACACAGAAGCATTCTGAGAAACTTTTTTGACATGTGTGCACTAATCTCACAGAGTTTAATCTATCATTTGATTGAGCAGTTTTAAAAAACTTTTTTTGTGGAATCTGCAATTGGATATTTGGAACGCTTTGAGGCCTATTGTGGAAAAGGCAATATCTTCACATAAAAACTACACAGAAACATTCCGAGAAACTTCTCTGTGATGTGTGCACTCATCTCACGGAGTTGAACCTTTCTTTGATTGACAAGTTTTGAAAGACTATGTTTCTATAATGTGCAAGTGGATATTTGGAGTGCTTTGAGGCATATGGTGGAAAAGGAAATATATTCACATAAAACTATACAGAAGCGTTCCCAGAAACTTATTTGTGATGTGTTTATTCAACTCGCAGAGTTGACCCTATCTTTTGATACAGCAGTTTTGAAACTCTCTTTTTGTAGAATCTGCAAGTGGATATTTGCAGCGCTTTGAGGCCTGCGGTGGAAAAGGAAATATCTTCACATAAAAACTACACAGAAGCATTCTCAGTAACTTCTTTGTAATGTGTGCATTCACCTCACAGACTTGAAACTTCCTCTTGATTGAGCAGCTTGGAAACACACTTTTAGTGAAATCTGCAAGTGGATATTTGGAGCACCTTGAGGCCTGTTGTGGAAAAGGAAATATCTTCACATAAAAACTACACAGAAGCATTCCAATAAACTTGTTTGTGATATGTACCTTCAACTGACAGATTTGAACCTTTCTTTTGATTAAATAGTTTTGAAAATCTCTTTTTGTAGAATCTGCAAGTGGATATTTGGAGTGCTTTGAGGCCTATGGTGGAAAAGGAAATATCTTTACATAAAAACTACACAGAAGCATTCTGAGAAACTACTTTGTGATGTGTGCATTCATATCACATAGTTGAACCTATCTTTTGATAGAGCACTTTTGAAACTCTCTTTTTGTAGAATCTGCAAGTGGATATTTGGAGCCCTTTGCAGCCTATGGTGGAAAAGGAAACATCTTCACATAAAAACTACACAGAAGCATTCTCAGAAACTACTTTGTGATGTGTGCGTTCAGCTCACAGACTTGAAACTTCCTCTTGATTGAGCAGTTTGGAAACACTCTTTAGTAAAATCTGCAAGTGGATATTCGGAGCACTTTGAGGCCTGTTGTGGAGAAGGAAATATCTTCACATAAAAACTACACAGACGCATTCCGAGAAACTTGTTTGTGATATGTGCATTCAACTGACAGAGTTGAACCTTTCTTTTGATTGACTAGTTTTGAAAATCTCTTTTTGTAGAATCTGCAAGTGGATATTTGGAGTGCTTTGAGGCCTATGGTGGAAAAGGAAATATCTTCATATGAAAACTACACAGAAGCATTCTGAGAAAATTCTTTGTGATGTGTGCATTCAAACCACAGACTTGAACTGATCTTTTGATAGAGCAGTTTTTAAAGTGTCTTTCTGTAGAATCTGCAAGTGGTTACTTGGAGACCTTTGTGGAAGATGGTGGAAAAGGAAATGTCTTCCCGTAAAAACTACACAGATGCATTCTGAGAAACTTCTTTGTGATGTGTGCATTCATCTCACAGAGTTCAACCTATCTTTTCGTAGAGCAGTTTTGAAACTCTCTTTTCCTAGAATCTGTAAGTTGATATTTGGAGCCCTTTGCGGCCTATTGTGGAAAAGGAAATAACTTCACATGAAAACTACACAGAAGCTGAGAAACTTCTTTGTGATGTGTGCATTAATTTCCCAGAGTCGAACCTTTCTTTTGATTGAGCAGTTTTGAAACACTCTTTTTGTAGAATCTGCAAGTGGACATTTGAAGCACTTTGAGGCCTATTGTTGAAAAGGAAACATCTTCATATAAAAACAACAAGGAAGCATTCTGAGAAACCATTTTGTGCTGTGTGCATTCACCTCACAGAGTTCAACTTTATTTGATACAGCAGTTTTGAAACACTCTTCTTGTAGAATCTGCAAGTGGAAATTGGGAAATATTTAGGCATATGGTGGAAAAGGAAACATCCGCACATAAAAACTACACAGACACATTCTGTGAAACTTCTTTGTGCTGTGTGCATTCAAACCACAGAGTTGAACCTATCTTTTGAATGAGCAGTTTTGAAACTCTCTTTTCATAGTATCTGCAAGTGGATATTTGGAGCCTTTTGTGGCCTACGGTGGGAAAGGAAATATCTTCATATAAAAACTACACAGAAGCATTCTGAGAAACTTCTCAGTGATGTGAGCATTCTTCTCACAGAGTTGAACTATCTTTTGATTGAGCAGTTTTGAAACACTGTTTTTTTTAGAATCTGCAAGTGAATATTTGGAGCCTTTTGGGTCTTATTGTGGAAAAGGAAATATCTTCACATAAAAACTACACAGAAGCATTCTGAGAAACTTCTTTGTCATGTGTGGATTCATCTCACAGAGTTAAATCTTTCTTTTGATTGAGCAGTTTGCAAACACTCTTTTTGTGGTATCTCCAGGAGGATATTTGGAGTGCTTTGAGGCCTATGTTGGAAAAGGAAGTATCTTCCCTTAAAAGCTATGCAGAAGCATTCTGAGAAACTTCCTTCTGATGTGTGCATTCATCTCACCTAGTTGAACCTTTCTTTTGGTTGTGCACTTTTGAAACACTCTTTTTGTGGAATCTGCAAGTGGATATCTGGATCACTTTGACGTCTATTGTGGAAAAGGAAATATCTTCACATAAAAACTACACAGAAGAATTCCGACATAGTTCTTTGTGATGTGTGCATTCAACTCACATAGTTGAAACCATCTCTTGATCGAGTAGTTTTGAACCTCTCTTGTTGTAGAATCTGAAAGTGGATATTTGTGTCCCCTGGCGGTCTATGGTGGAAAAGAAATATCTTCACAAAAATACTACACAGAAGCATTCTGAGAAACTTCTTTGTGATGTGTCCATTCATCTCACAGAGTTGAACCTTTCTTTTGATTGAGCAGTTTTGAAATACTCCTTTTGTAGAATCTGCAAGTGGATATTTTGAGTGCTTTGAGAACTATTGTGGAAAAGGAATTATCTTCTCATAAAACCTACACTGAAGGATTCTGAGAAATTTCTTGTGATGTGTGCATTCATCTCACAGAGTTGAACATTTCCTATGATTGAGCAGTTTGGAAATATTCTTTTCATAGAATCTGGAAGTGGATATTTGGAGCCCTTTGAGGCCTATTGTGGAAAAGGAAATATCTTCACATAAAAACTACAGAGAAGCATTCTGAGAAACTTCTTTGTGATGTGTGCATTCATCAAACAGAATTGAACATTTCTTTTTTTGTGCAGTTTTGAAACAATCTTCTTGTAGTATCTGCAAGTGGATATTTGGAGCGTTTTAAGACCTAAGGTGGGAAAGGAAATATCTTCACATAAAAATTACACAGAGAGATTCTGAGAAACTTCTTTGTGATGTGTGCATTCATCTCATATATTTGAACCTTTCTTTTCATTGTGCAGTTTCCAAGCAATCTTTTTCTAGAATATGTAAGTGGATATTTGGAGCACTTTGTGGACTATGGAGGGAAAAGAAATGTCTTCACATAAAAACTACACAGAAGCATTGGGAGAAAATTCTTGTGATATTTGTGTTCAACCCACAAAGTTGAACATATTGTTTGATAGAGCAGTTGTGAAACTCTCTTTTTGTAGAATCTGCAAGTGGGTATTTGGAGCCCTTTGTGGCCCATGGTAGAAAAGGAACTATCTTCACAGAAAAACTACCCAGAAGCATTTTGAGAAACTCCTTTGTGATTTGTGCACTCATCTCACGGTGTTGAAACTTTATTTTTATTGAGCAATTTTGAACATTCCTTTTTATAGAATCTACAAGTGGATATTTGGAGTGGTTTGAGACCTATGGTAGAAAAAGAACTATCTTCACCGAAAAACCACACAGAAGCATTTTGAGAAGCTTCTTTTTGATGTATGCATTCAACTCACAGAGACGAACTGATCTTTTGATAGAGCAGTTTTGAAACTCACTTTTGTAGAATCTGCAGGTGGATATTTGGAGTACATTGCGGCCTATGGTGAAAAAGGACTATCTTCGCATGAGAACCAGGCAGAAAACATTCTGAGAAACTAGTTTGTGATGTGTGCATTCATCTCACAGAGTTGAAATCATTTTTTGATTTGAGTAGTTTGGAAACACTCTTTTTGTGGAATCTCTAAGGGCATATTTGAAGCGTTTTGCACGCTGTTGTGGAAAAGGAAATATCTTCACATAAAAACTACACAGAAGCATTCTGAGAAACTACTTTGTGATGTGGGCATTCATGTCACGGTTTTGAACCTTCCATTTGATTGAGCAGTTTTGAAATACTCGTTTGGTAGAATGTACAAGTGAATATTTGGAGCACTTTGAGGCCTATGATAGAAACGGAAATATGTTTACATAAAAACTACACAGAAGCATGCTGAGAAACCTCTTTGTGATGTGTGTATTCACCTCCGGGAGTTCAACCTATCATTTGACAGAGCGGTTTTGAAACTCTTTTTGTAGAATCTCCAAGTGGATATTTGGAGCCCTTTGCATTCTACTGTGAAAAGGAAATATCTTCACATCAAAACTACACAGACGCATTCTGAGAAACTTCTTTGTGATGTTTGCTTTCAACTCACAGAATTGAACCTTTTGTTTGAGTAGTTTTGAAACTCTCTTTTTGTAGAATCTAGAAGTGGATATTTAGAACGCTTGGAGGCCTATGGTGCAAAAACGAATAACTTCACACAAAAAATACACAGAAGCATTCTGAGAAACTTCTTTACGATGTCTGCATTCACCTCACAGATTTGAATGTCTCTTTTGATTGAGCAGTTTGGAAGCACTCTTTCGGTAGAATCTGCAAGTGGATATGGAGAGAGCTTTGAGGCCTGTTGTGGAAAACTAAATGTCTTCATATAAAAGCTACACAGAAGCATTCTGAGAAACTCCTTTGTTATGTGTGCATTCATCTCACAGAGTTGAACCTTTCTTTTGATTCGGCAGTTTTGAAACACGGTTTTTGTAGAATCTTCAAGTGGATATTTGGAGCACTTTTCTGCCTATTGTGTAAAAGGAAATATCTTTACGTAAGAACTACACAGAAGCATTCTGAGAAACTTCTTTGTGATGTTCTTAACTCACAGCGTTAAACTTACCTTTGGTAGAGCAGTTTTGAAACTCTCTTTTTGTGGAAAATGTAAGTGGGTATTTAGAGCCATTTGTGGCCTATGGTGGAAAGGAAAATATCTTCACATAAAAACTACACAGAAGCATTCTGAGAAACTACCTTTTGATGTGTGTATTTGTCTCAGACTGGAACCTTCCTTTTGATTGAGCAGTTCTGAAACACTCTTTTTGTAGAATCTGGAAGTGCATATTTGGAGTGCTTTGAGGCCTATGGTGGAAAAAGAAATATCTTCATTTAAAAACTACACAGAAGCATTCTGAGAAACTTCTTTGTGATGTGTGTGTGTATTCATACCACAGAGTCGAAACTATCGTTTGAGAGAGCATTTCGAAACTTTCTTTTTGTAGGATCTGCAAGTGGATATTTGGAGGGCTTTCAGGCCTATGGTGGAAAAGGAAATATCTTCACATAAACACTACTCAGAAGCATTCTGAGAAACTTCTTCACGATGGTTGCACTAAACTCTCAGAGTTGAACTTATCTTTTGATAGAGCAGTTTTGAAACTCTGTGTTACTAGAATCTGCATGTGGTTATTTGGAGTCCTTTGTGGCCGATGGTGGAAAAGGAAATATCTTCCCCTAAAAAGTACACAGAAGCATTCTGAGAAACTTTTTTGACATGTGTGCACTAATCTCACAGAGTTTAATCTATCATTTGATTGAGCAGTTTTAAAAAACTTTTTTTGTGGAATCTGCAATTGGATATTTGGAACGCTTTGAGGCCTATTGTGGAAAAGGCAATATCTTCACATAAAAACTACACAGAAACATTCCGAGAAACTTCTCTGTGATGTGTGCACTCATCTCACGGAGTTGAACCTTTCTTTGATTGACAAGTTTTGAAAGACTATGTTTCTATAATGTGCAAGTGGATATTTGGAGTGCTTTGAGGCATATGGTGGAAAAGGAAATATATTCACATAAAACTATACAGAAGCGTTCCCAGAAACTTATTTGTGATGTGCTTATTCAACTCGCAGAGTTGACCCTATCTTTTGATACAGCAGTTTTGAAACTCTCTTTTTGTAGAATCTGCAAGTGGATATTTGCAGCGCTTTGAGGCCTGCGGTGGAAAAGGAAATATCTTCACATAAAAACTACACAGAAGCATTCTCAGTAACTTCTTTGTAATGTGTGCATTCACCTCACAGACTTGAAACTTCCTCTTGATTGAGCAGCTTGGAAACACACTTTTAGTGAAATCTGCAAGTGGATATTTGGAGCACCTTGAGGCCTGTTGTGGAAAAGGAAATATCTTCACATAAAAACTACACAGAAGCATTCCAATAAACTTGTTTGTGATATGTACCTTCAACTGACAGATTTGAACCTTTCTTTTGATTAAATAGTTTTGAAAATCTCTTTTTGTAGAATCTGCAAGTGGATATTTGGAGTGCTTTGAGGCCTATGGTGGAAAAGGAAATATCTTTACATAAAAACTACACAGAAGCATTCTGAGAAACTACTTTGTGATGTGTGCATTCATATCACATAGTTGAACCTATCTTTTGATAGAGCACTTTTGAAACTCTCTTTTTGTAGAATCTGCAAGTGGATATTTGGAGCCCTTTGCAGCCTATGGTGGAAAAGGAAACATCTTCACATAAAAACTACACAGAAGCATTCTCAGAAACTACTTTGTGATGTGTGCGTTCAGCTCACAGACTTGAAACTTCCTCTTGATTGAGCAGTTTGGAAACACTCTTTAGTAAAATCTGCAAGTGGATATTCGGAGCACTTTGAGGCCTGTTGTGGAGAAGGAAATATCTTCACATAAAAACTACACAGACGCATTCCGAGAAACTTGTTTGTGATATGTGCATTCAACTGACAGAGTTGAACCTTTCTTTTGATTGACTAGTTTTGAAAATCTCTTTTTGTAGAATCTGCAAGTGGATATTTGGAGTGCTTTGAGGCCTATGGTGGAAAAGGAAATATCTTCATATGAAAACTACACAGAAGCATTCTGAGAAAATTCTTTGTGATGTGTGCATTCAAACCACAGACTTGAACTGATCTTTTGATAGAGCAGTTTTTAAAGTGTCTTTCTGTAGAATCTGCAAGTGGTTACTTGGAGACCTTTGTGGAAGATGGTGGAAAAGGAAATATCTTCCCGTAAAAACTACACAGATGCATTCTGAGAAACTTCTTTGTGATGTGTGCATTCATCTCACAGAGTTCAACCTATCTTTTCGTAGAGCAGTTTTGAAACTCTCTTTTCCTAGAATCTGTAAGTTGATATTTGGAGCCCTTTGCGGCCTATTGTGGAAAAGGAAATAACTTCACATGAAAACTACACAGAAGCTGAGAAACTTCTTTGTGATGTGTGCATTAATTTCCCAGAGTCGAACCTTTCTTTTGATTGAGCAGTTTTGAAACACTCTTTTTGTAGAATCTGCAAGTGGACATTTGAAGCACTTTGAGGCCTATTGTTGAAAAGGAAACATCTTCATATAAAAACAACAAGGAAGCATTCTGAGAAACCATTTTGTGCTGTGTGCATTCACCTCACAGAGTTCAACTTTATTTGATACAGCAGTTTTGAAACACTCTTCTTGTGGAATCTGCAAGTGGAAATTGGGAAATATTTAGGCATATGGTGGAAAAGGAAACATCCGCACATAAAAACTACACAGACACATTCTGTGAAACTTCTTTGTGCTGTGTGCATTCAAACCACAGAGTTGAACCTATCTTTTGAATGAGCACTTTTGAAACTCTCTTTTCATAGTATCTGCAAGTGGATATTTGGAGCCTTTTGTGGCCTACGGTGGGAAAGGAAATATCTTCATATAAAACTACACAGAAGCATTCTGAGAAACTTCTCAGTGATGTGAGCATTCTTCTCACAGAGTTGAACTATCTTTTGATTGAGCAGTTTTGAAACACTGTTTTTTTTAGAATCTGCAAGTGAATATTTGGAGCCTTTTGGGTCTTATTGTGGAAAAGGAAATATCTTCACATAAAAACTACACAGAAGCATTCTGAGAAACTTCTTTGTCATGTGTGGATTCATCTCACAGAGTTAAATCTTTCTTTTGATTGAGCAGTTTGCAAACACTCTTTTTGTGGTATCTCCAGGAGGATATTTGGAGTGCTTTGAGGCCTATGTTGGAAAAGGAAGTATCTTCCCTTAAAAGCTATGCAGAAGCATTCTGAGAAACTTCCTTCTGATGTGTGCATTCATCTCACCTAGTTGAACCTTTCTTTTGGTTGTGCACTTTTGAAACACTCTTTTTGTGGAATCTGCAAGTGGATATCTGGATCACTTTGACGTCTATTGTGGAAAAGGAAATATCTTCACATAAAAACTACACAGAAAGAATTCCGACATAGTTCTTTGTGATGTGTGCATTCAACTCACATAGTTGAAACCATCTCTTGATCGAGTAGTTTTGAACCTCTCTTGTTGTAGAATCTGAAAGTGGATATTTGTGTCCCCTGGCGGTCTATGGTGGAAAAGAAATATCTTCACAAAAATACTACACAGAAGCATTCTGAGAAACTTCTTTGTGATGTGTCCATTCATCTCACAGAGTTGAACCTTTCTTTTGATTGAGCAGTTTTGAAATACTCCTTTTGTAGAATCTGCAAGTGGATATTTTGAGTGCTTTGAGAACTATTGTGGAAAAGGAATTATCTTCTCATAAAACCTACACTGAAGGATTCTGAGAAATTTCTTGTGATGTGTGCATTCATCTCACAGAGTTGAACATTTCCTATGATTGAGCAGTTTGGAAATATTCTTTTCATAGAATCTGGAAGTGGATATTTGGAGCCCTTTGAGGCCTATTGTGGAAAAGGAAATATCTTCACATAAAAACTACAGAGAAGCATTCTGAGAAACTTCTTTGTGATGTGTGCATTCATCAAACAGAATTGAACATTTCTTTTTTTGTGCAGTTTTGAAACAATCTTCTTGTAGTATCTGCAAGTGGATATTTGGAGCGTTTTAAGACCTAAGGTGGGAAAGGAAATATCTTCACATAAAAATTACACAGAGAGATTCTGAGAAACTTCTTTGTGATGTGTGCATTCATCTCATATATTTGAACCTTTCTTTTCATTGTGCAGTTTCCAAGCAATCTTTTTCTAGAATATGTAAGTGGATATTTGGAGCACTTTGTGGACTATGGAGGGAAAAGAAATGTCTTCACATAAAAACTACACAGAAGCATTGGGAGAAAATTCTTGTGATATTTGTGTTCAACCCACAAAGTTGAACATATTGTTTGATAGAGCAGTTGTGAAACTCTCTTTTTGTAGAATCTGCAAGTGGGTATTTGGAGCCCTTTGTGGCCCATGGTAGAAAAGGAACTATCTTCACAGAAAAACTACCCAGAAGCATTTTGAGAAACTCCTTTGTGATTTGTGCACTCATCTCACGGTGTTGAAACTTTATTTTTATTGAGCAATTTTGAACATTCCTTTTTATAGAATCTACAAGTGGATATTTGGAGTGGTTTGAGACCTATGGTAGAAAAAGAACTATCTTCACCGAAAAACCACACAGAAGCATTTTGAGAAGCTTCTTTTTGATGTATGCATTCAACTCACAGAGACGAACTGATCTTTTGATAGAGCAGTTTTGAAACTCACTTTTGTAGAATCTGCAGGTGGATATTTGGAGTACATTGCGGCCTATGGTGAAAAAGGACTATCTTCGCATGAGAACCAGGCAGAAAACATTCTGAGAAACTAGTTTGTGATGTGTGCATTCATCTCACAGAGTTGAAATCATTTTTTGATTTGAGTAGTTTGGAAACACTCTTTTTGTGGAATCTCTAAGGGCATATTTGAAGCGTTTTGCACGCTGTTGTGGAAAAGGAAATATCTTCACATAAAAACTACACAGAAGCATTCTGAGAAACTACTTTGTGATGTGGGCATTCATGTCACGGTTTTGAACCTTCCATTTGATTGAGCAGTTTTGAAATACTCGTTTGGTAGAATGTACAAGTGAATATTTGGAGCACTTTGAGGCCTATGATAGAAACGGAAATATGTTTACATAAAAACTACACAGAAGCATGCTGAGAAACCTCTTTGTGATGTGTGTATTCACCTCCGGGAGTTCAACCTATCATTTGACAGAGCGGTTTTGAAACTCTTTTTGTAGAATCTCCAAGTGGATATTTGGAGCCCTTTGCATTCTACTGTGAAAAGGAAATATCTTCACATCAAAACTACACAGACGCATTCTGAGAAACTTCTTTGTGATGTTTGCTTTCAACTCACAGAATTGAACCTTTTGTTTGAGTAGTTTTGAAACTCTCTTTTTGTAGAATCTAGAAGTGGATATTTAGAACGCTTGGAGGCCTATGGTGCAAAAACGAATAACTTCACACAAAAAATACACAGAAAGCATTCTGAGAAACTTCTTTACGATGTCTGCATTCACCTCACAGATTTGAATGTCTCTTTTGATTGAGCAGTTTGGAAGCACTCTTTCGGTAGAATCTGCAAGTGGATATGGAGAGAGCTTTGAGGCCTGTTGTGGAAAACTAAATGTCTTCATATAAAAGCTACACAGAAGCATTCTGAGAAACTCCTTTGTTATGTGTGCATTCATCTCACAGAGTTGAACCTTTCTTTTGATTCGGCAGTTTTGAAACACGGTTTCTGTAGAATCTTCAAGTGGATATTTGGAGCACTTTTCTGCCTATTGTGTAAAAGGAAATATCTTTACGTAAGAACTACACAGAAGCATTCTGAGAAACTTCTTTGTGATGTTCTTAACTCACAGCGTTAAACTTACCTTTGGTAGAGCAGTTTTGAAACTCTCTTTTTGTGGAAAATGTAAGTGGGTATTTAGAGCCATTTGTGGCCTATGGTGGAAAGGAAAATATCTTCACATAAAAACTACACAGAAGCATTCTGAGAAACTACCTTTTGATGTGTGTATTTGTCTCAGACTGGAACCTTCCTTTTGATTGAGCAGTTCTGAAACACTCTTTTTGTAGAATCTGGAAGTGCATATTTGGAGTGCTTTGAGGCCTATGGTGGAAAAAGAAATATCTTCATTTAAAAACTACACAGAAGCATTCTGAGAAACTTCTTTGTGATGTGTGTATTCATACCACAGAGTCGAAACTATCGTTTGAGAGAGCATTTCGAAACTTTCTTTTTGTAGGATCTGCAAGTGGATATTTGGAGGGCTTTCAGGCCTATGGTGGAAAAGGAAATATCTTCACATAAACACTACTCAGAAGCATTCTGAGAAACTTCTTCACGATGGTTGCACTAAACTCTCAGAGTTGAACTTATCTTTTGATAGAGCAGTTTTGAAACTCTGTGTTACTAGAATCTGCATGTGGTTATTTGGAGTCCTTTGTGGCCGATGGTGGAAAAGGAAATATCTTCCCCTAAAAAGTACACAGAAGCATTCTGAGAAACTTTTTTGACATGTGTGCACTAATCTCACAGAGTTTAATCTATCATTTGATTGAGCAGTTTTAAAAAACTTTTTTTGTGGAATCTGCAATTGGATATTTGGAACGCTTTGAGGCCTATTGTGGAAAAGGCAATATCTTCACATAAAAACTACACAGAAACATTCCGAGAAACTTCTCTGTGATGTGTGCACTCATCTCACGGAGTTGAACCTTTCTTTGATTGACAAGTTTTGAAAGACTATGTTTCTATAATGTGCAAGTGGATATTTGGAGTGCTTTGAGGCATATGGTGGAAAAGGAAATATATTCACATAAAACTATACAGAAGCGTTCCCAGAAACTTATTTGTGATGTGTTTATTCAACTCGCAGAGTTGACCCTATCTTTTGATACAGCAGTTTTGAAACTCTCTTTTTGTAGAATCTGCAAGTGGATATTTGCAGCGCTTTGAGGCCTGCGGTGGAAAAGGAAATATCTTCACATAAAAACTACACAGAAGCATTCTCAGTAACTTCTTTGTAATGTGTGCATTCACCTCACAGACTTGAAACTTCCTCTTGATTGAGCAGCTTGGAAACACACTTTTAGTGAAATCTGCAAGTGGATATTTGGAGCACCTTGAGGCCTGTTGTGGAAAAGGAAATATCTTCACATAAAAACTACACAGAAGCATTCCAATAAACTTGTTTGTGATATGTACCTTCAACTGACAGATTTGAACCTTTCTTTTGATTAAATAGTTTTGAAAATCTCTTTTTGTAGAATCTGCAAGTGGATATTTGGAGTGCTTTGAGGCCTATGGTGGAAAAGGAAATATCTTTACATAAAAACTACACAGAAGCATTCTGAGAAACTACTTTGTGATGTGTGCATTCATATCACATAGTTGAACCTATCTTTTGATAGAGCACTTTTGAAACTCTCTTTTTGTAGAATCTGCAAGTGGATATTTGGAGCCCTTTGCAGCCTATGGTGGAAAAGGAAACATCTTCACATAAAAACTACACAGAAGCATTCTCAGAAACTACTTTGTGATGTGTGCGTTCAGCTCACAGACTTGAAACTTCCTCTTGATTGAGCAGTTTGGAAACACTCTTTAGTAAAATCTGCAAGTGGATATTCGGAGCACTTTGAGGCCTGTTGTGGAGAAGGAAATATCTTCACATAAAAACTACACAGACGCATTCCGAGAAACTTGTTTGTGATATGTGCATTCAACTGACAGAGTTGAACCTTTCTTTTGATTGACTAGTTTTGAAAATCTCTTTTTGTAGAATCTGCAAGTGGATATTTGGAGTGCTTTGAGGCCTATGGTGGAAAAGGAAATATCTTCATATGAAAACTACACAGAAGCATTCTGAGAAAATTCTTTGTGATGTGTGCATTCAAACCACAGACTTGAACTGATCTTTTGATAGAGCAGTTTTTAAAGTGTCTTTCTGTAGAATCTGCAAGTGGTTACTTGGAGACCTTTGTGGAAGATGGTGGAAAAGGAAATGTCTTCCCGTAAAAACTACACAGATGCATTCTGAGAAACTTCTTTGTGATGTGTGCATTCATCTCACAGAGTTCAACCTATCTTTTCGTAGAGCAGTTTTGAAACTCTCTTTTCCTAGAATCTGTAAGTTGATATTTGGAGCCCTTTGCGGCCTATTGTGGAAAAGGAAATAACTTCACATGAAAACTACACAGAAGCTGAGAAACTTCTTTGTGATGTGTGCATTAATTTCCCAGAGTCGAACCTTTCTTTTGATTGAGCAGTTTTGAAACACTCTTTTTGTAGAATCTGCAAGTGGACATTTGAAGCACTTTGAGGCC
Source organism: Homo sapiens (assembly GCF_000001405.40). NCBI lineage: Eukaryota > Metazoa > Chordata > Mammalia > Primates > Hominidae > Homo > Homo sapiens. Next base: position 10,342,439 of record NC_000024.10, read on the forward strand.
TATTGTTGAAAAGGAAACATCTTCATATAAAAACAACAAGGAAGCATTCTGAGAAACCATTTTGTGCTGTGTGCATTCACCTCACAGAGTTCAACTTTATTTGATACAGCAGTTTTGAAACACTCTTCTTGTAGAATCTGCAAGTGGAAATTGGGAAATATTTAGGCATATGGTGGAAAAGGAAACATCCGCACATAAAAACTACACAGACACATTCTGTGAAACTTCCTTTGTGCTGTGTGCATTCAAACCACAGAGTTGAACCTATCTTTTGAATGAGCAGTTTTGAAACTCTCTTTTCATAGTATCTGCAAGTGGATATTTGGAGCCTTTTGTGGCCTACGGTGGGAAAGGAAATATCTTCATATAAAAACTACACAGAAGCATTCTGAGAAACTTCTCAGTGATGTGAGCATTCTTCTCACAGAGTTGAACTATCTTTTGATTGAGCAGTTTTGAAACACTGTTTTTTTTAGAATCTGCAAGTGAATATTTGGAGCCTTTTGGGTCTTATTGTGGAAAAGGAAATATCTTCACATAAAAACTACACAGAAGCATTCTGAGAAACTTCTTTGTCATGTGTGGATTCATCTCACAGAGTTAAATCTTTCTTTTGATTGAGCAGTTTGCAAACACTCTTTTTGTGGTATCTCCAGGAGGATATTTGGAGTGCTTTGAGGCCTATGTTGGAAAAGGAAGTATCTTCCCTTAAAAGCTATGCAGAAGCATTCTGAGAAACTTCCTTCTGATGTGTGCATTCATCTCACCTAGTTGAACCTTTCTTTTGGTTGTGCACTTTTGAAACACTCTTTTTGTGGAATCTGCAAGTGGATATCTGGATCACTTTGACGTCTATTGTGGAAAAGGAAATATCTTCACATAAAAACTACACAGAAGAATTCCGACATAGTTCTTTGTGATGTGTGCATTCAACTCACATAGTTGAAACCATCTCTTGATCGAGTAGTTTTGAACCTCTCTTGTTGTAGAATCTGAAAGTGGATATTTGTGTCCCCTGGCGGTCTATGGTGGAAAAGAAATATCTTCACAAAAATACTACACAGAAGCATTCTGAGAAACTTCTTTGTGATGTGTCCATTCATCTCACAGAGTTGAACCTTTCTTTTGATTGAGCAGTTTTGAAATACTCCTTTTGTAGAATCTGCAAGTGGATATTTTGAGTGCTTTGAGAACTATTGTGGAAAAGGAATTATCTTCTCATAAAACCTACACTGAAGGATTCTGAGAAATTTCTTGTGATGTGTGCATTCATCTCACAGAGTTGAACATTTCCTATGATTGAGCAGTTTGGAAATATTCTTTTCATAGAATCTGGAAGTGGATACTTGGAGCCCTTTGAGGCCTATTGTGGAAAAGGAAATATCTTCACATAAAAACTACAGAGAAGCATTCTGAGAAACTTCTTTGTGATGTGTGCATTCATCAAACAGAATTGAACATTTCTTTTTTTGTGCAGTTTTGAAACAATCTTCTTGTAGTATCTGCAAGTGGATATTTGGAGCGTTTTAAGACCTAAGGTGGGAAAGGAAATATCTTCACATAAAAATTACACAGAGAGATTCTGAGAAACTTCTTTGTGATGTGTGCATTCATCTCATATATTTGAACCTTTCTTTTCATTGTGCAGTTTCCAAGCAATCTTTTTCTAGAATATGTAAGTGGATATTTGGAGCACTTTGTGGACTATGGAGGGAAAAGAAATGTCTTCACATAAAAACTACACAGAAGCATTGGGAGAAAATTCTTGTGATATTTGTGTTCAACCCACAAAGTTGAACATATTGTTTGATAGAGCAGTTGTGAAACTCTCTTTTTGTAGAATCTGCAAGTGGGTATTTGGAGCCCTTTGTGGCCCATGGTAGAAAAGGAACTATCTTCACAGAAAAACTACCCAGAAGCATTTTGAGAAACTTCTTTGTGATTTGTGCACTCATCTCACGGTGTTGAAACTTTATTTTTATTGAGCAATTTTGAACATTCCTTTTTATAGAATCTACAAGTGGATATTTGGAGTGGTTTGAGACCTATGGTAGAAAAAGAACTATCTTCACCGAAAAACCACACAGAAGCATTTTGAGAAGCTTCTTTTTGATGTATGCATTCAACTCACAGAGACGAACTGATCTTTTGATAGAGCAGTTTTGAAACTCACTTTTGTAGAATCTGCAGGTGGATATTTGGAGTACATTGCGGCCTATGGTGAAAAAGGAACTATCTTCGCATGAGAACCAGGCAGAAACATTCTGAGAAACTAGTTTGTGATGTGTGCATTCATCTCACAGAGTTGAAATCATTTTTTGATTTGAGTAGTTTGGAAACACTCTTTTTGTGGAATCTCTAAGGGCATATTTGAAGCGTTTTGCACGCTGTTGTGGAAAAGGAAATATCTTCACATAAAAACTACACAGAAGCATTCTGAGAAACTACTTTGTGATGTGGGCATTCATGTCACGGTTTTGAACCTTCCATTTGATTGAGCAGTTTTGAAATACTCGTTTGGTAGAATGTACAAGTGAATATTTGGAGCACTTTGAGGCCTATGATAGAAACGGAAATATGTTTACATAAAAACTACACAGAAGCATGCTGAGAAACCTCTTTGTGATGTGTGTATTCACCTCCGGGAGTTCAACCTATCATTTGACAGAGCGGTTTTGAAACTCTTTTTGTAGAATCTCCAAGTGGATATTTGGAGCCCTTTGCATTCTACTGTGAAAAGGAAATATCTTCACATAAAAACTACACAGACGCATTCTGAGAAACTTCTTTGTGATGTTTGCTTTCAACTCACAGAATTGAACCTTTTGTTTGAGTAGTTTTGAAACTCTCTTTTTGTAGAATCTAGAAGTGGATATTTAGAACGCTTGGAGGCCTATGGTGCAAAAACGAATAACTTCACACAAAAAATACACAGAAGCATTCTGAGAAACTTCTTTACGATGTCTGCATTCACCTCACAGATTTGAATGTCTCTTTTGATTGAGCAGTTTGGAAGCACTCTTTCGGTAGAATCTGCAAGTGGATATGGAGAGAGCTTTGAGGCCTGTTGTGGAAAACTAAATGTCTTCATATAAAAGCTACACAGAAGCATTCTGAGAAACTCCTTTGTTATGTGTGCATTCATCTCACAGAGTTGAACCTTTCTTTTGATTCGGCAGTTTTGAAACACGGTTTCTGTAGAATCTTCAAGTGGATATTTGGAGCACTTTTCTGCCTATTGTGTAAAAGGAAATATCTTTACGTAAGAACTACACAGAAGCATTCTGAGAAACTTCTTTGTGATGTTCTTAACTCACAGCGTTAAACTTACCTTTGGTAGAGCAGTTTTGAAACTCTCTTTTTGTGGAAAATGTAAGTGGGTATTTAGAGCCATTTGTGGCCTATGGTGGAAAGGAAAATATCTTCACATAAAAACTACACAGAAGCATTCTGAGAAACTACCTTTTGATGTGTGTATTTGTCTCAGACTGGAACCTTCCTTTTGATTGAGCAGTTCTGAAACACTCTTTTTGTAGAATCTGGAAGTGCATATTTGGAGTGCTTTGAGGCCTATGGTGGAAAAAGAAATATCTTCATTTAAAAACTACACAGAAGCATTCTGAGAAACTTCTTTGTGATGTGTGTGTGTATTCATACCACAGAGTCGAAACTATCGTTTGAGAGAGCATTTCGAAACTTTCTTTTTGTAGGATCTGCAAGTGGATATTTGGAGGGCTTTCAGGCCTATGGTGGAAAAGGAAATATCTTCACATAAACACTACTCAGAAGCATTCTGAGAAACTTCTTCACGATGGTTGCACTAAACTCTCAGAGTTGAACTTATCTTTTGATAGAGCAGTTTTGAAACTCTGTGTTACTAGAATCTGCATGTGGTTATTTGGAGTCCTTTGTGGCCGATGGTGGAAAAGGAAATATCTTCCCCTAAAAAGTACACAGAAGCATTCTGAGAAACTTTTTTGACATGTGTGCACTAATCTCACAGAGTTTAATCTATCATTTGATTGAGCAGTTTTAAAAAACTTTTTTTGTGGAATCTGCAATTGGATATTTGGAACGCTTTGAGGCCTATTGTGGAAAAGGCAATATCTTCACATAAAAACTACACAGAAACATTCCGAGAAACTTCTCTGTGATGTGTGCACTCATCTCACGGAGTTGAACCTTTCTTTGATTGACAAGTTTTGAAAGACTATGTTTCTATAATGTGCAAGTGGATATTTGGAGTGCTTTGAGGCATATGGTGGAAAAGGAAATATATTCACATAAAACTATACAGAAGCGTTCCCAGAAACTTATTTGTGATGTGTTTATTCAACTCGCAGAGTTGACCCTATCTTTTGATACAGCAGTTTTGAAACTCTCTTTTTGTAGAATCTGCAAGTGGATATTTGCAGCGCTTTGAGGCCTGCGGTGGAAAAGGAAATATCTTCACATAAAAACTACACAGAAGCATTCTCAGTAACTTCTTTGTAATGTGTGCATTCACCTCACAGACTTGAAACTTCCTCTTGATTGAGCAGCTTGGAAACACACTTTTAGTGAAATCTGCAAGTGGATATTTGGAGCACCTTGAGGCCTGTTGTGGAAAAGGAAATATCTTCACATAAAAACTACACAGAAGCATTCCAATAAACTTGTTTGTGATATGTACCTTCAACTGACAGATTTGAACCTTTCTTTTGATTAAATAGTTTTGAAAATCTCTTTTTGTAGAATCTGCAAGTGGATATTTGGAGTGCTTTGAGGCCTATGGTGGAAAAGGAAATATCTTTACATAAAAACTACACAGAAGCATTCTGAGAAACTACTTTGTGATGTGTGCATTCATATCACATAGTTGAACCTATCTTTTGATAGAGCACTTTTGAAACTCTCTTTTTGTAGAATCTGCAAGTGGATATTTGGAGCCCTTTGCAGCCTATGGTGGAAAAGGAAACATCTTCACATAAAAACTACACAGAAGCATTCTCAGAAACTACTTTGTGATGTGTGCGTTCAGCTCACAGACTTGAAACTTCCTCTTGATTGAGCAGTTTGGAAACACTCTTTAGTAAAATCTGCAAGTGGATATTCGGAGCACTTTGAGGCCTGTTGTGGAGAAGGAAATATCTTCACATAAAAACTACACAGACGCATTCCGAGAAACTTGTTTGTGATATGTGCATTCAACTGACAGAGTTGAACCTTTCTTTTGATTGACTAGTTTTGAAAATCTCTTTTTGTAGAATCTGCAAGTGGATATTTGGAGTGCTTTGAGGCCTATGGTGGAAAAGGAAATATCTTCATATGAAAACTACACAGAAGCATTCTGAGAAAATTCTTTGTGATGTGTGCATTCAAACCACAGACTTGAACTGATCTTTTGATAGAGCAGTTTTTAAAGTGTCTTTCTGTAGAATCTGCAAGTGGTTACTTGGAGACCTTTGTGGAAGATGGTGGAAAAGGAAATGTCTTCCCGTAAAAACTACACAGATGCATTCTGAGAAACTTCTTTGTGATGTGTGCATTCATCTCACAGAGTTCAACCTATCTTTTCGTAGAGCAGTTTTGAAACTCTCTTTTCCTAGAATCTGTAAGTTGATATTTGGAGCCCTTTGCGGCCTATTGTGGAAAAGGAAATAACTTCACATGAAAACTACACAGAAGCTGAGAAACTTCTTTGTGATGTGTGCATTAATTTCCCAGAGTCGAACCTTTCTTTTGATTGAGCAGTTTTGAAACACTCTTTTTGTAGAATCTGCAAGTGGACATTTGAAGCACTTTGAGGCCTATTGTTGAAAAGGAAACATCTTCATATAAAAACAAGGAAGCATTCTGAGAAACCATTTTGTGCTGTGTGCATTCACCTCACAGAGTTCAACTTTATTTGATACAGCAGTTTTGAAACACTCTTCTTGTAGAATCTGCAAGTGGAAATTGGGAAATATTTAGGCATATGGTGGAAAAGGAAACATCCGCACATAAAAACTACACAGACACATTCTGTGAAACTTCTTTGTGCTGTGTGCATTCAAACCACAGAGTTGAACCTATCTTTTGAATGAGCAGTTTTGAAACTCTCTTTTCATAGTATCTGCAAGTGGATATTTGGAGCCTTTTGTGGCCTACGGTGGGAAAGGAAATATCTTCATATAAAAACTACACAGAAGCATTCTGAGAAACTTCTCAGTGATGTGAGCATTCTTCTCACAGAGTTGAACTATCTTTTGATTGAGCAGTTTTGAAACACTGTTTTTTTTAGAATCTGCAAGTGAATATTTGGAGCCTTTTGGGTCTTATTGTGGAAAAGGAAATATCTTCACATAAAAACTACACAGAAGCATTCTGAGAAACTTCTTTGTCATGTGTGGATTCATCTCACAGAGTTAAATCTTTCTTTTGATTGAGCAGTTTGCAAACACTCTTTTTGTGGTATCTCCAGGAGGATATTTGGAGTGCTTTGAGGCCTATGTTGGAAAAGGAAGTATCTTCCCTTAAAAGCTATGCAGAAGCATTCTGAGAAACTTCCTTCTGATGTGTGCATTCATCTCACCTAGTTGAACCTTTCTTTTGGTTGTGCACTTTTGAAACACTCTTTTTGTGGAATCTGCAAGTGGATATCTGGATCACTTTGACGTCTATTGTGGAAAAGGAAATATCTTCACATAAAAACTACACAGAAAGAATTCCGACATAGTTCTTTGTGATGTGTGCATTCAACTCACATAGTTGAAACCATCTCTTGATCGAGTAGTTTTGAACCTCTCTTGTTGTAGAATCTGAAAGTGGATATTTGTGTCCCCTGGCGGTCTATGGTGGAAAAGAAATATCTTCACAAAAATACTACACAGAAGCATTCTGAGAAACTTCTTTGTGATGTGTCCATTCATCTCACAGAGTTGAACCTTTCTTTTGATTGAGCAGTTTTGAAATACTCCTTTTGTAGAATCTGCAAGTGGATATTTTGAGTGCTTTGAGAACTATTGTGGAAAAGGAATTATCTTCTCATAAAACCTACACTGAAGGATTCTGAGAAATTTCTTGTGATGTGTGCATTCATCTCACAGAGTTGAACATTTCCTATGATTGAGCAGTTTGGAAATATTCTTTTCATAGAATCTGGAAGTGGATATTTGGAGCCCTTTGAGGCCTATTGTGGAAAAGGAAATATCTTCACATAAAAACTACAGAGAAGCATTCTGAGAAACTTCTTTGTGATGTGTGCATTCATCAAACAGAATTGAACATTTCTTTTTTTGTGCAGTTTTGAAACAATCTTCTTGTAGTATCTGCAAGTGGATATTTGGAGCGTTTTAAGACCTAAGGTGGGAAAGGAAATATCTTCACATAAAAATTACACAGAGAGATTCTGAGAAACTTCTTTGTGATGTGTGCATTCATCTCATATATTTGAACCTTTCTTTTCATTGTGCAGTTTCCAAGCAATCTTTTTCTAGAATATGTAAGTGGATATTTGGAGCACTTTGTGGACTATGGAGGGAAAAGAAATGTCTTCACATAAAAACTACACAGAAGCATTGGGAGAAAATTCTTGTGATATTTGTGTTCAACCCACAAAGTTGAACATATTGTTTGATAGAGCAGTTGTGAAACTCTCTTTTTGTAGAATCTGCAAGTGGGTATTTGGAGCCCTTTGTGGCCCATGGTAGAAAAGGAACTATCTTCACAGAAAAACTACCCAGAAGCATTTTGAGAAACTCCTTTGTGATTTGTGCACTCATCTCACGGTGTTGAAACTTTATTTTTATTGAGCAATTTTGAACATTCCTTTTTATAGAATCTACAAGTGGATATTTGGAGTGGTTTGAGACCTATGGTAGAAAAAGAACTATCTTCACCGAAAAACCACACAGAAGCATTTTGAGAAGCTTCTTTTTGATGTATGCATTCAACTCACAGAGACGAACTGATCTTTTGATAGAGCAGTTTTGAAACTCACTTTTGTAGAATCTGCAGGTGGATATTTGGAGTACATTGCGGCCTATGGTGAAAAAGGAACTATCTTCGCATGAGAACCAGGCAGAAACATTCTGAGAAACTAGTTTGTGATGTGTGCATTCATCTCACAGAGTTGAAATCATTTTTTGATTTGAGTAGTTTGGAAACACTCTTTTTGTGGAATCTCTAAGGGCATATTTGAAGCGTTTTGCACGCTGTTGTGGAAAAGGAAATATCTTCACATAAAAACTACACAGAAGCATTCTGAGAAACTACTTTGTGATGTGGGCATTCATGTCACGGTTTTGAACCTTCCATTTGATTGAGCAGTTTTGAAATACTCGTTTGGTAGAATGTACAAGTGAATATTTGGAGCACTTTGAGGCCTATGATAGAAACGGAAATATGTTTACATAAAAACTACACAGAAGCATGCTGAGAAACCTCTTTGTGATGTGTGTATTCACCTCCGGGAGTTCAACCTATCATTTGACAGAGCGGTTTTGAAACTCTTTTTGTAGAATCTCCAAGTGGATATTTGGAGCCCTTTGCATTCTACTGTGAAAAGGAAATATCTTCACATCAAAACTACACAGACGCATTCTGAGAAACTTCTTTGTGATGTTTGCTTTCAACTCACAGAATTGAACCTTTTGTTTGAGTAGTTTTGAAACTCTCTTTTTGTAGAATCTAGAAGTGGATATTTAGAACGCTTGGAGGCCTATGGTGCAAAAACGAATAACTTCACACAAAAAATACACAGAAGCATTCTGAGAAACTTCTTTACGATGTCTGCATTCACCTCACAGATTTGAATGTCTCTTTTGATTGAGCAGTTTGGAAGCACTCTTTCGGTAGAATCTGCAAGTGGATATGGAGAGAGCTTTGAGGCCTGTTGTGGAAAACTAAATGTCTTCATATAAAAGCTACACAGAAGCATTCTGAGAAACTCCTTTGTTATGTGTGCATTCATCTCACAGAGTTGAACCTTTCTTTTGATTCGGCAGTTTTGAAACACGGTTTTTGTAGAATCTTCAAGTGGATATTTGGAGCACTTTTCTGCCTATTGTGTAAAAGGAAATATCTTTACGTAAGAACTACACAGAAGCATTCTGAGAAACTTCTTTGTGATGTTCTTAACTCACAGCGTTAAACTTACCTTTGGTAGAGCAGTTTTGAAACTCTCTTTTTGTGGAAAATGTAAGTGGGTATTTAGAGCCATTTGTGGCCTATGGTGGAAAGGAAAATATCTTCACATAAAAACTACACAGAAGCATTCTGAGAAACTACCTTTTGATGTGTGTATTTGTCTCAGACTGGAACCTTCCTTTTGATTGAGCAGTTCTGAAACACTCTTTTTGTAGAATCTGGAAGTGCATATTTGGAGTGCTTTGAGGCCTATGGTGGAAAAAAGAAATATCTTCATTTAAAAACTACACAGAAAGCATTCTGAGAAACTTCTTTGTGATGTGTGTGTGTATTCATACCACAGAGTCGAAACTATCGTTTGAGAGAGCATTTCGAAACTTTCTTTTTGTAGGATCTGCAAGTGGATATTTGGAGGGCTTTCAGGCCTATGGTGGAAAAGGAAATATCTTCACATAAACACTACTCAGAAGCATTCTGAGAAACTTCTTCACGATGGTTGCACTAAACTCTCAGAGTTGAACTTATCTTTTGATAGAGCAGTTTTGAAACTCTGTGTTACTAGAATCTGCATGTGGTTATTTGGAGTCCTTTGTGGCCGATGGTGGAAAAGGAAATATCTTCCCCTAAAAAGTACACAGAAGCATTCTGAGAAACTTTTTTGACATGTGTGCACTAATCTCACAGAGTTTAATCTATCATTTGATTGAGCAGTTTTAAAAAACTTTTTTTGTGGAATCTGCAATTGGATATTTGGAACGCTTTGAGGCCTATTGTGGAAAAGGCAATATCTTCACATAAAAACTACACAGAAACATTCCGAGAAACTTCTCTGTGATGTGTGCACTCATCTCACGGAGTTGAACCTTTCTTTGATTGACAAGTTTTGAAAGACTATGTTTCTATAATGTGCAAGTGGATATTTGGAGTGCTTTGAGGCATATGGTGGAAAAGGAAATATATTCACATAAAACTATACAGAAGCGTTCCCAGAAACTTATTTGTGATGTGCTTATTCAACTCGCAGAGTTGACCCTATCTTTTGATACAGCAGTTTTGAAACTCTCTTTTTGTAGAATCTGCAAGTGGATATTTGCAGCGCTTTGAGGCCTGCGGTGGAAAAGGAAATATCTTCACATAAAAACTACACAGAAGCATTCTCAGTAACTTCTTTGTAATGTGTGCATTCACCTCACAGACTTGAAACTTCCTCTTGATTGAGCAGCTTGGAAACACACTTTTAGTGAAATCTGCAAGTGGATATTTGGAGCACCTTGAGGCCTGTTGTGGAAAAGGAAATATCTTCACATAAAAACTACACAGAAGCATTCCAATAAACTTGTTTGTGATATGTACCTTCAACTGACAGATTTGAACCTTTCTTTTGATTAAATAGTTTTGAAAATCTCTTTTTGTAGAATCTGCAAGTGGATATTTGGAGTGCTTTGAGGCCTATGGTGGAAAAGGAAATATCTTTACATAAAAACTACACAGAAGCATTCTGAGAAACTACTTTGTGATGTGTGCATTCATATCACATAGTTGAACCTATCTTTTGATAGAGCACTTTTGAAACTCTCTTTTTGTAGAATCTGCAAGTGGATATTTGGAGCCCTTTGCAGCCTATGGTGGAAAAGGAAACATCTTCACATAAAAACTACACAGAAGCATTCTCAGAAACTACTTTGTGATGTGTGCGTTCAGCTCACAGACTTGAAACTTCCTCTTGATTGAGCAGTTTGGAAACACTCTTTAGTAAAATCTGCAAGTGGATATTCGGAGCACTTTGAGGCCTGTTGTGGAGAAGGAAATATCTTCACATAAAAACTACACAGACGCATTCCGAGAAACTTGTTTGTGATATGTGCATTCAACTGACAGAGTTGAACCTTTCTTTTGATTGACTAGTTTTGAAAATCTCTTTTTGTAGAATCTGCAAGTGGATATTTGGAGTGCTTTGAGGCCTATGGTGGAAAAGGAAATATCTTCATATGAAAACTACACAGAAGCATTCTGAGAAAATTCTTTGTGATGTGTGCATTCAAACCACAGACTTGAACTGATCTTTTGATAGAGCAGTTTTTAAAGTGTCTTTCTGTAGAATCTGCAAGTGGTTACTTGGAGACCTTTGTGGAAGATGGTGGAAAAGGAGAATGTCTTCCCGTAAAAACTACACAGATGCATTCTGAGAAACTTCTTTGTGATGTGTGCATTCATCTCACAGAGTTCAACCTATCTTTTCATAGAGCAGTTTTGAAACTCTCTTTTCCTAGAATCTGTAAGTTGATATTTGGAGCCCTTTGCGGCCTATTGTGGAAAAGGAAATAACTTCACATGAAAACTACACAGAAGCTGAGAAACTTCTTTGTGATGTGTGCATTAATTTCCCAGAGTCGAACCTTTCTTTTGATTGAGCAGTTTTGAAACACTCTTTTTGTAGAATCTGCAAGTGGACATTTGAAGCACTTTGAGGCCTATTGTTGAAAAGGAAACATCTTCATATAAAAACAACAAGGAAGCATTCTGAGAAACCATTTTGTGCTGTGTGCATTCACCTCACAGAGTTCAACTTTATTTGATACAGCAGTTTTGAAACACTCTTCTTGTGGAATCTGCAAGTGGAAATTGGGAAATATTTAGGCATATGGTGGAAAAGGAAACATCCGCACATAAAAACTACACAGACACATTCTGTGAAACTTCTTTGTGCTGTGTGCATTCAAACCACAGAGTTGAACCTATCTTTTGAATGAGCAGTTTTGAAACTCTCTTTTCATAGTATCTGCAAGTGGATATTTGGAGCCTTTTGTGGCCTACGGTGGGAAAGGAAATATCTTCATATAAAAACTACACAGAAGCATTCTGAGAAACTTCTCAGTGATGTGAGCATTCTTCTCACAGAGTTGAACTATCTTTTGATTGAGCAGTTTTGAAACACTGTTTTTTTTAGAATCTGCAAGTGAATATTTGGAGCCTTTTGGGTCTTATTGTGGAAAAGGAAATATCTTCACATAAAAACTACACAGAAGCATTCTGAGAAACTTCTTTGTCATGTGTGGATTCATCTCACAGAGTTAAATCTTTCTTTTGATTGAGCAGTTTGCAAACACTCTTTTTGTGGTATCTCCAGGAGGATATTTGGAGTGCTTTGAGGCCTATGTTGGAAAAGGAAGTATCTTCCCTTAAAAGCTATGCAGAAGCATTCTGAGAAACTTCCTTCTGATGTGTGCATTCATCTCACCTAGTTGAACCTTTCTTTTGGTTGTGCACTTTTGAAACACTCTTTTTGTGGAATCTGCAAGTGGATATCTGGATCACTTTGACGTCTATTGTGGAAAAGGAAATATCTTCACATAAAAACTACACAGAAGAATTCCGACATAGTTCTTTGTGATGTGTGCATTCAACTCACATAGTTGAAACCATCTCTTGATCGAGTAGTTTTGAACCTCTCTTGTTGTAGAATCTGAAAGTGGATATTTGTGTCCCCTGGCGGTCTATGGTGGAAAAGAAATATCTTCACAAAAATACTACACAGAAGCATTCTGAGAAACTTCTTTGTGATGTGTCCATTCATCTCACAGAGTTGAACCTTTCTTTTGATTGAGCAGTTTTGAAATACTCCTTTTGTAGAATCTGCAAGTGGATATTTTGAGTGCTTTGAGAACTATTGTGGAAAAGGAATTATCTTCTCATAAAACCTACACTGAAGGATTCTGAGAAATTTCTTGTGATGTGTGCATTCATCTCACAGAGTTGAACATTTCCTATGATTGAGCAGTTTGGAAATATTCTTTTCATAGAATCTGGAAGTGGATATTTGGAGCCCTTTGAGGCCTATTGTGGAAAAGGAAATATCTTCACATAAAAACTACAGAGAAGCATTCTGAGAAACTTCTTTGTGATGTGTGCATTCATCAAACAGAATTGAACATTTCTTTTTTTGTGCAGTTTTGAAACAATCTTCTTGTAGTATCTGCAAGTGGATATTTGGAGCGTTTTAAGACCTAAGGTGGGAAAGGAAATATCTTCACATAAAAATTACACAGAGAGATTCTGAGAAACTTCTTTGTGATGTGTGCATTCATCTCATATATTTGAACCTTTCTTTTCATTGTGCAGTTTCCAAGCAATCTTTTTCTAGAATATGTAAGTGGATATTTGGAGCACTTTGTGGACTATGGAGGGAAAAGAAATGTCTTCACATAAAAACTACACAGAAGCATTGGGAGAAAATTCTTGTGATATTTGTGTTCAACCCACAAAGTTGAACATATTGTTTGATAGAGCAGTTGTGAAACTCTCTTTTTGTAGAATCTGCAAGTGGGTATTTGGAGCCCTTTGTGGCCCATGGTAGAAAAGGAACTATCTTCACAGAAAAACTACCCAGAAGCATTTTGAGAAACTCCTTTGTGATTTGTGCACTCATCTCACGGTGTTGAAACTTTATTTTTATTGAGCAATTTTGAACATTCCTTTTTATAGAATCTACAAGTGGATATTTGGAGTGGTTTGAGACCTATGGTAGAAAAAGAACTATCTTCACCGAAAAACCACACAGAAGCATTTTGAGAAGCTTCTTTTTGATGTATGCATTCAACTCACAGAGACGAACTGATCTTTTGATAGAGCAGTTTTGAAACTCACTTTTGTAGAATCTGCAGGTGGATATTTGGAGTACATTGCGGCCTATGGTGAAAAAGGAACTATCTTCGCATGAGAACCAGGCAGAAACATTCTGAGAAACTAGTTTGTGATGTGTGCATTCATCTCACAGAGTTGAAATCATTTTTTGATTTGAGTAGTTTGGAAACACTCTTTTTGTGGAATCTCTAAGGGCATATTTGAAGCGTTTTGCACGCTGTTGTGGAAAAGGAAATATCTTCACATAAAAACTACACAGAAGCATTCTGAGAAACTACTTTGTGATGTGGGCATTCATGTCACGGTTTTGAACCTTCCATTTGATTGAGCAGTTTTGAAATACTCGTTTGGTAGAATGTACAAGTGAATATTTGGAGCACTTGAGGCCTATGATAGAAACGGAAATATGTTTACATAAAAACTACACAGAAGCATGCTGAGAAACCTCTTTGTGATGTGTGTATTCACCTCCGGGAGTTCAACCTATCATTTGACAGAGCGGTTTTGAAACTCTTTTTGTAGAATCTCCAAGTGGATATTTGGAGCCCTTTGCATTCTACTGTGAAAAGGAAATATCTTCACATCAAAACTACACAGAACGCATTCTGAGAAACTTCTTTGTGATGTTTGCTTTCAACTCACAGAATTGAACCTTTTGTTTGAGTAGTTTTGAAACTCTCTTTTTGTAGAATCTAGAAGTGGATATTTAGAACGCTTGGAGGCCTATGGTGCAAAAACGAATAACTTCACACAAAAAATACACAGAAGCATTCTGAGAAACTTCTTTACGATGTCTGCATTCACCTCACAGATTTGAATGTCTCTTTTGATTGAGCAGTTTGGAAGCACTCTTTCGGTAGAATCTGCAAGTGGATATGGAGAGAGCTTTGAGGCCTGTTGTGGAAAACTAAATGTCTTCATATAAAAGCTACACAGAAGCATTCTGAGAAACTCCTTTGTTATGTGTGCATTCATCTCACAGAGTTGAACCTTTCTTTTGATTCGGCAGTTTTGAAACACGGTTTCTGTAGAATCTTCAAGTGGATATTTGGAGCACTTTTCTGCCTATTGTGTAAAAGGAAATATCTTTACGTAAGAACTACACAGAAGCATTCTGAGAAACTTCTTTGTGATGTTCTTAACTCACAGCGTTAAACTTACCTTTGGTAGAGCAGTTTTGAAACTCTCTTTTTGTGGAAAATGTAAGTGGGTATTTAGAGCCATTTGTGGCCTATGGTGGAAAGGAAAATATCTTCACATAAAAACTACACAGAAGCATTCTGAGAAACTACCTTTTGATGTGTGTATTTGTCTCAGACTGGAACCTTCCTTTTGATTGAGCAGTTCTGAAACACTCTTTTTGTAGAATCTGGAAGTGCATATTTGGAGTGCTTTGAGGCCTATGGTGGAAAAAGAAATATCTTCATTTAAAAACTACACAGAAGCATTCTGAGAAACTTCTTTGTGATGTGTGTATTCATACCACAGAGTCGAAACTATCGTTTGAGAGAGCATTTCGAAACTTTCTTTTTGTAGGATCTGCAAGTGGATATTTGGAGGGCTTTCAGGCCTATGGTGGAAAAGGAAATATCTTCACATAAACACTACTCAGAAGCATTCTGAGAAACTTCTTCACGATGGTTGCACTAAACTCTCAGAGTTGAACTTATCTTTTGATAGAGCAGTTTTGAAACTCTGTGTTACTAGAATCTGCATGTGGTTATTTGGAGTCCTTTGTGGCCGATGGTGGAAAAGGAAATATCTTCCCCTAAAAAGTACACAGAAGCATTCTGAGAAACTTTTTTGACATGTGTGCACTAATCTCACAGAGTTTAATCTATCATTTGATTGAGCAGTTTTAAAAAACTTTTTTTGTGGAATCTGCAATTGGATATTTGGAACGCTTTGAGGCCTATTGTGGAAAAGGCAATATCTTCACATAAAAACTACACAGAAACATTCCGAGAAACTTCTCTGTGATGTGTGCACTCATCTCACGGAGTTGAACCTTTCTTTGATTGACAAGTTTTGAAAGACTATGTTTCTATAATGTGCAAGTGGATATTTGGAGTGCTTTGAGGCATATGGTGGAAAAGGAAATATATTCACATAAAACTATACAGAAGCGTTCCCAGAAACTTATTTGTGATGTGCTTATTCAACTCGCAGAGTTGACCCTATCTTTTGATACAGCAGTTTTGAAACTCTCTTTTTGTAGAATCTGCAAGTGGATATTTGCAGCGCTTTGAGGCCTGCGGTGGAAAAGGAAATATCTTCACATAAAAACTACACAGAAGCATTCTCAGTAACTTCTTTGTAATGTGTGCATTCACCTCACAGACTTGAAACTTCCTCTTGATTGAGCAGCTTGGAAACACACTTTTAGTGAAATCTGCAAGTGGATATTTGGAGCACCTTGAGGCCTGTTGTGGAAAAGGAAATATCTTCACATAAAAACTACACAGAAGCATTCCAATAAACTTGTTTGTGATATGTACCTTCAACTGACAGATTTGAACCTTTCTTTTGATTAAATAGTTTTGAAAATCTCTTTTTGTAGAATCTGCAAGTGGATATTTGGAGTGCTTTGAGGCCTATGGTGGAAAAGGAAATATCTTTACATAAAAACTACACAGAAGCATTCTGAGAAACTACTTTGTGATGTGTGCATTCATATCACATAGTTGAACCTATCTTTTGATAGAGCACTTTTGAAACTCTCTTTTTGTAGAATCTGCAAGTGGATATTTGGAGCCCTTTGCAGCCTATGGTGGAAAAGAAAACATCTTCACATAAAAACTACACAGAAGCATTCTCAGAAACTACTTTGTGATGTGTGCGTTCAGCTCACAGACTTGAAACTTCCTCTTGATTGAGCAGTTTGGAAACACTCTTTAGTAAAATCTGCAAGTGGATATTCGGAGCACTTTGAGGCCTGTTGTGGAGAAGGAAATATCTTCACATAAAAACTACACAGACGCATTCCGAGAAACTTGTTTGTGATATGTGCATTCAACTGACAGAGTTGAACCTTTCTTTTGATTGACTAGTTTTGAAAATCTCTTTTTGTAGAATCTGCAAGTGGATATTTGGAGTGCTTTGAGGCCTATGGTGGAAAAGGAAATATCTTCATATGAAAACTACACAGAAGCATTCTGAGAAAATTCTTTGTGATGTGTGCATTCAAACCACAGACTTGAACTGATCTTTTGATAGAGCAGTTTTTAAAGTGTCTTTCTGTAGAATCTGCAAGTGGTTACTTGGAGACCTTTGTGGAAGATGGTGGAAAAGGAAATGTCTTCCCGTAAAAACTACACAGATGCATTCTGAGAAACTTCTTTGTGATGTGTGCATTCATCTCACAGAGTTCAACCTATCTTTTCGTAGAGCAGTTTTGAAACTCTCTTTTCCTAGAATCTGTAAGTTGATATTTGGAGCCCTTTGCGGCCTATTGTGGAAAAGGAAATAACTTCACATGAAAACTACACAGAAGCTGAGAAACTTCTTTGTGATGTGTGCATTAATTTCCCAGAGTCGAACCTTTCTTTTGATTGAGCAGTTTTGAAACACTCTTTTTGTAGAATCTGCAAGTGGACATTTGAAGCACTTTGAGGCCTATTGTTGAAAAGGAAACATCTTCATATAAAAACAAGGAAGCATTCTGAGAAACCATTTTGTGCTGTGTGCATTCACCTCACAGAGTTCAACTTTATTTGATACAGCAGTTTTGAAACACTCTTCTTGTAGAATCTGCAAGTGGAAATTGGGAAATATTTAGGCATATGGTGGAAAAGGAAACATCCGCACATAAAAACTACACAGACACATTCTGTGAAACTTCTTTGTGCTGTGTGCATTCAAACCACAGAGTTGAACCTATCTTTTGAATGAGCAGTTTTGAAACTCTCTTTTCATAGTATCTGCAAGTGGATATTTGGAGCCTTTTGTGGCCTACGGTGGGAAAGGAAATATCTTCATATAAAAACTACACAGAAGCATTCTGAGAAACTTCTCAGTGATGTGAGCATTCTTCTCACAGAGTTGAACTATCTTTTGATTGAGCAGTTTTGAAACACTGTTTTTTTTAGAATCTGCAAGTGAATATTTGGAGCCTTTTGGGTCTTATTGTGGAAAAGGAAATATCTTCACATAAAAACTACACAGAAGCATTCTGAGAAACTTCTTTGTCATGTGTGGATTCATCTCACAGAGTTAAATCTTTCTTTTGATTGAGCAGTTTGCAAACACTCTTTTTGTGGTATCTCCAGGAGGATATTTGGAGTGCTTTGAGGCCTATGTTGGAAAAGGAAGTATCTTCCCTTAAAAGCTATGCAGAAGCATTCTGAGAAACTTCCTTCTGATGTGTGCATTCATCTCACCTAGTTGAACCTTTCTTTTGGTTGTGCACTTTTGAAACACTCTTTTTGTGGAATCTGCAAGTGGATATCTGGATCACTTTGACGTCTATTGTGGAAAAGGAAATATCTTCACATAAAAACTACACAGAAGAATTCCGACATAGTTCTTTGTGATGTGTGCATTCAACTCACATAGTTGAAACCATCTCTTGATCGAGTAGTTTTGAACCTCTCTTGTTGTAGAATCTGAAAGTGGATATTTGTGTCCCCTGGCGGTCTATGGTGGAAAAGAAATATCTTCACAAAAATACTACACAGAAGCATTCTGAGAAACTTCTTTGTGATGTGTCCATTCATCCCACAGAGTTGAACCTTTCTTTTGATTGAGCAGTTTTGAAATACTCCTTTTGTAGAATCTGCAAGTGGATATTTTGAGTGCTTTGAGAACTATTGTGGAAAAGGAATTATCTTCTCATAAAACCTACACTGAAGGATTCTGAGAAATTTCTTGTGATGTGTGCATTCATCTCACAGAGTTGAACATTTCCTATGATTGAGCAGTTTGGAAATATTCTTTTCATAGAATCTGGAAGTGGATATTTGGAGCCCTTTGAGGCCTATTGTGGAAAAGGAAATATCTTCACATAAAAACTACAGAGAAGCATTCTGAGAAACTTCTTTGTGATGTGTGCATTCATCAAACAGAATTGAACATTTCTTTTTTTGTGCAGTTTTGAAACAATCTTCTTGTAGTATCTGCAAGTGGATATTTGGAGCGTTTTAAGACCTAAGGTGGGAAAGGAAATATCTTCACATAAAAATTACACAGAGAGATTCTGAGAAACTTCTTTGTGATGTGTGCATTCATCTCATATATTTGAACCTTTCTTTTCATTGTGCAGTTTCCAAGCAATCTTTTTCTAGAATATGTAAGTGGATATTTGGAGCACTTTGTGGACTATGGAGGGAAAAGAAATGTCTTCACATAAAAACTACACAGAAGCATTGGGAGAAAATTCTTGTGATATTTGTGTTCAACCCACAAAGTTGAACATATTGTTTGATAGAGCAGTTGTGAAACTCTCTTTTTGTAGAATCTGCAAGTGGGTATTTGGAGCCCTTTGTGGCCCATGGTAGAAAAGGAACTATCTTCACAGAAAAACTACCCAGAAGCATTTTGAGAAACTCCTTTGTGATTTGTGCACTCATCTCACGGTGTTGAAACTTTATTTTTATTGAGCAATTTTGAACATTCCTTTTTATAGAATCTACAAGTGGATATTTGGAGTGGTTTGAGACCTATGGTAGAAAAAGAACTATCTTCACCGAAAAACCACACAGAAGCATTTTGAGAAGCTTCTTTTTGATGTATGCATTCAACTCACAGAGACGAACTGATCTTTTGATAGAGCAGTTTTGAAACTCACTTTTGTAGAATCTGCAGGTGGATATTTGGAGTACATTGCGGCCTATGGTGAAAAAGGAACTATCTTCGCATGAGAACCAGGCAGAAACATTCTGAGAAACTAGTTTGTGATGTGTGCATTCATCTCACAGAGTTGAAATCATTTTTTGATTTGAGTAGTTTGGAAACACTCTTTTTGTGGAATCTCTAAGGGCATATTTGAAGCGTTTTGCACGCTGTTGTGGAAAAGGAAATATCTTCACATAAAAACTACACAGAAGCATTCTGAGAAACTACTTTGTGATGTGGGCATTCATGTCACGGTTTTGAACCTTCCATTTGATTGAGCAGTTTTGAAATACTCGTTTGGTAGAATGTACAAGTGAATATTTGGAGCACTTTGAGGCCTATGATAGAAACGGAAATATGTTTACATAAAAACTACACAGAAGCATGCTGAGAAACCGCTTTGTGATGTGTGTATTCACCTCCGGGAGTTCAACCTATCATTTGACAGAGCGGTTTTGAAACTCTTTTTGTAGAATCTCCAAGTGGATATTTGGAGCCCTTTGCATTCTACTGTGAAAAGGAAATATCTTCACATCAAAACTACACAGACGCATTCTGAGAAACTTCTTTGTGATGTTTGCTTTCAACTCACAGAATTGAACCTTTTGTTTGAGTAGTTTTGAAACTCTCTTTTTGTAGAATCTAGAAGTGGATATTTAGAACGCTTGGAGGCCTATGGTGCAAAAACGAATAACTTCACACAAAAAATACACAGAAGCATTCTGAGAAACTTCTTTACGATGTCTGCATTCACCTCACAGATTTGAATGTCTCTTTTGATTGAGCAGTTTGGAAGCACTCTTTCGGTAGAATCTGCAAGTGGATATGGAGAGAGCTTTGAGGCCTGTTGTGGAAAACTAAATGTCTTCATATAAAAGCTACACAGAAGCATTCTGAGAAACTCCTTTGTTATGTGTGCATTCATCTCACAGAGTTGAACCTTTCTTTTGATTCGGCAGTTTTGAAACACGGTTTCTGTAGAATCTTCAAGTGGATATTTGGAGCACTTTTCTGCCTATTGTGTAAAAGGAAATATCTTTACGTAAGAACTACACAGAAGCATTCTGAGAAACTTCTTTGTGATGTTCTTAACTCACAGCGTTAAACTTACCTTTGGTAGAGCAGTTTTGAAACTCTCTTTTTGTGGAAAATGTAAGTGGGTATTTAGAGCCATTTGTGGCCTATGGTGGAAAGGAAAATATCTTCACATAAAAACTACACAGAAGCATTCTGAGAAACTACCTTTTGATGTGTGTATTTGTCTCAGACTGGAACCTTCCTTTTGATTGAGCAGTTCTGAAACACTCTTTTTGTAGAATCTGGAAGTGCATATTTGGAGTGCTTTGAGGCCTATGGTGGAAAAAGAAATATCTTCATTTAAAAACTACACAGAAGCATTCTGAGAAACTTCTTTGTGATGTGTGTGTGTATTCATACCACAGAGTCGAAACTATCGTTTGAGAGAGCATTTCGAAACTTTCTTTTTGTAGGATCTGCAAGTGGATATTTGGAGGGCTTTCAGGCCTATGGTGGAAAAGGAAATATCTTCACATAAACACTACTCAGAAGCATTCTGAGAAACTTCTTCACGATGGTTGCACTAAACTCTCAGAGTTGAACTTATCTTTTGATAGAGCAGTTTTGAAACTCTGTGTTACTAGAATCTGCATGTGGTTATTTGGAGTCCTTTGTGGCCGATGGTGGAAAAGGAAATATCTTCCCCTAAAAAGTACACAGAAGCATTCTGAGAAACTTTTTTGACATGTGTGCACTAATCTCACAGAGTTTAATCTATCATTTGATTGAGCAGTTTTAAAAAACTTTTTTTGTGGAATCTGCAATTGGATATTTGGAACGCTTTGAGGCCTATTGTGGAAAAGGCAATATCTTCACATAAAAACTACACAGAAACATTCCGAGAAACTTCTCTGTGATGTGTGCACTCATCTCACGGAGTTGAACCTTTCTTTGATTGACAAGTTTTGAAAGACTATGTTTCTATAATGTGCAAGTGGATATTTGGAGTGCTTTGAGGCATATGGTGGAAAAGGAAATATATTCACATAAAACTATACAGAAGCGTTCCCAGAAACTTATTTGTGATGTGCTTATTCAACTCGCAGAGTTGACCCTATCTTTTGATACAGCAGTTTTGAAACTCTCTTTTTGTAGAATCTGCAAGTGGATATTTGCAGCGCTTTGAGGCCTGCGGTGGAAAAGGAAATATCTTCACATAAAAACTACACAGAAGCATTCTCAGTAACTTCTTTGTAATGTGTGCATTCACCTCACAGACTTGAAACTTCCTCTTGATTGAGCAGCTTGGAAACACACTTTTAGTGAAATCTGCAAGTGGATATTTGGAGCACCTTGAGGCCTGTTGTGGAAAAGGAAATATCTTCACATAAAAACTACACAGAAGCATTCCAATAAACTTGTTTGTGATATGTACCTTCAACTGACAGATTTGAACCTTTCTTTTGATTAAATAGTTTTGAAAATCTCTTTTTGTAGAATCTGCAAGTGGATATTTGGAGTGCTTTGAGGCCTATGGTGGAAAAGGAAATATCTTTACATAAAAACTACACAGAAGCATTCTGAGAAACTACTTTGTGATGTGTGCATTCATATCACATAGTTGAACCTATCTTTTGATAGAGCACTTTTGAAACTCTCTTTTTGTAGAATCTGCAAGTGGATATTTGGAGCCCTTTGCAGCCTATGGTGGAAAAGGAAACATCTTCACATAAAAACTACACAGAAGCATTCTCAGAAACTACTTTGTGATGTGTGCGTTCAGCTCACAGACTTGAAACTTCCTCTTGATTGAGCAGTTTGGAAACACTCTTTAGTAAAATCTGCAAGTGGATATTCGGAGCACTTTGAGGCCTGTTGTGGAGAAGGAAATATCTTCACATAAAAACTACACAGACGCATTCCGAGAAACTTGTTTGTGATATGTGCATTCAACTGACAGAGTTGAACCTTTCTTTTGATTGACTAGTTTTGAAAATCTCTTTTTGTAGAATCTGCAAGTGGATATTTGGAGTGCTTTGAGGCCTACGGTGGAAAAGGAAATATCTTCATATGAAAACTACACAGAAAGCATTCTGAGAAACTACTTTGTGATGTGTGCATTCATATCACATAGTTGAACCTATCTTTTGATAGAGCACTTTTGAAACTCTCTTTTTGTAGAATCTGCAAGTGGATATTTGGAGCCCTTTGCAGCCTATGGTGGAAAAGGAAACATCTTCACATAAAAACTACACAGAAGCATTCCCAGAAACTTTCTGTGATGTGTGCATTCATCTCACAGTGTTGAAACATTCTTTTAACTGAGCATTTTTGAAAAATTCTGTTTTTATAATTTACAAGTGAATATTTGGAGCACTTTGAAGCCTATGGTGGAAAAGGAAATATTTCACATAAAAACTACACAGAACACATTCTGTGAAACTTCTTTGTGCTGTGTGCATTCAAACCACAGTAGTTGAACCTATCTTTTGAATGAGCAGTTTTGAAACTCTCTTTTCATAGTATCTGCAAGTGGATATTTGGAGCCTTTTGTGGCCTACGGTGGGAAAGGAAATATCTTCATATAAAAACTACACAGAAGCATTCTGAGAAACTTCTCAGTGATGTGAGCATTCTTCTCACAGAGTTGAACTATCTTTTGATTGAGCAGTTTTGAAACACTGTTTTTTTTAGAATCTGCAAGTGAATATTTGGAGCCTTTTGGGTCTTATTGTGGAAAAGGAAATATCTTCACATAAAAACTACACAGAAGCATTCTGAGAAACTTCTTTGTCATGTGTGGATTCATCTCACAGAGTTAAATCTTTCTTTTGATTGAGCAGTTTGCAAACACTCTTTTTGTGGTATCTCCAGGAGGATATTTGGAGTGCTTTGAGGCCTATGTTGGAAAAGGAAGTATCTTCCCTTAAAAGCTATGCAGAAGCATTCTGAGAAACTTCCTTCTGATGTGTGCATTCATCTCACCTAGTTGAACCTTTCTTTTGGTTGTGCACTTTTGAAACACTCTTTTTGTGGAATCTGCAAGTGGATATCTGGATCACTTTGACGTCTATTGTGGAAAAGGAAATATCTTCACATAAAAACTACACAGAAGAATTCCGACATAGTTCTTTGTGATGTGTGCATTCAACTCACATAGTTGAAACCATCTCTTGATCGAGTAGTTTTGAACCTCTCTTGTTGTAGAATCTGAAAGTGGATATTTGTGTCCCCTGGCGGTCTATGGTGGAAAAGAAATATCTTCACAAAAATACTACACAGAAGCATTCTGAGAAACTTCTTTGTGATGTGTCCATTCATCTCACAGAGTTGAACCTTTCTTTTGATTGAGCAGTTTTGAAATACTCCTTTTGTAGAATCTGCAAGTGGATATTTTGAGTGCTTTGAGAACTATTGTGGAAAAGGAATTATCTTCTCATAAAACCTACACTGAAGTATTCTGAGAAATTTCTTGTGATGTGTGCATTCATCTCACAGAGTTGAACATTTCCTATGATTGAGCAGTTTGGAAATATTCTTTTCATAGAATCTGGAAGTGGATATTTGGAGCCCTTTGAGGCCTATTGTGGAAAAGGAAATATCTTCACATAAAAACTACAGAGAAGCATTCTGAGAAACTTCTTTGTGATGTGTGCATTCATCAAACAGAATTGAACATTTCTTTTTTTGTGCAGTTTTGAAGCAATCTTCTTGTAGTATCTGCAAGTGGATATTTGGAGCGTTTTAAGACCTAAGGTGGGAAAGGAAATATCTTCACATAAAAATTACACAGAGAGATTCTGAGAAACTTCTTTGTGATGTGTGCATTCATCTCATATATTTGAACCTTTCTTTTCATTGTGCAGTTTCCAAGCAATCTTTTTCTAGAATATGTAAGTGGATATTTGGAGCACTTTGTGGACTATGGAGGGAAAAGAAATGTCTTCACATAAAAACTACACAGAAGCATTGGGAGAAAATTCTTGTGATATTTGTGTTCAACCCACAAAGTTGAACATATTGTTTGATAGAGCAGTTGTGAAACTCTCTTTTTGTAGAATCTGCAAGTGGGTATTTGGAGCCCTTTGTGGCCCATGGTAGAAAAGGAACTATCTTCACAGAAAAACTACCCAGAAGCATTTTGAGAAACTCCTTTGTGATTTGTGCACTCATCTCACGGTGTTGAAACTTTATTTTTATTGAGCAATTTTGAACATTCCTTTTTATAGAATCTACAAGTGGATATTTGGAGTGGTTTGAGACCTATGGTAGAAAAAGAACTATCTTCACCGAAAAACCACACAGAAGCATTTTGAGAAGCTTCTTTTTGATGTATGCATTCAACTCACAGAGACGAACTGATCTTTTGATAGAGCAGTTTTGAAACTCACTTTTGTAGAATCTGCAGGTGGATATTTGGAGTACATTGCGGCCTATGGTGAAAAAGGAACTATCTTCGCATGAGAACCAGGCAGAAACATTCTGAGAAACTAGTTTGTGATGTGTGCATTCATCTCACAGAGTTGAAATCATTTTTTGATTTGAGTAGTTTGGAAACACTCTTTTTGTGGAATCTCTAAGGGCATATTTGAAGCGTTTTGCACGCTGTTGTGGAAAAGGAAATATCTTCACATAAAAACTACACAGAAGCATTCTGAGAAACTACTTTGTGATGTGGGCATTCATGTCACAGTTTTGAACCTTCCATTTGATTGAGCAGTTTTGAAATACTCGTTTGGTAGAATGTACAAGTGAATATTTGGAGCACTTTGAGGCCTATGATAGAAACGGAAATATGTTTACATAAAAACTACACAGAAGCATGCTGAGAAACCTCTTTGTGATGTGTGTATTCACCTCCGGGAGTTCAACCTATCATTTGACAGAGCGGTTTTGAAACTCTTTTTGTAGAATCTCCAAGTGGATATTTGGAGCCCTTTGCATTCTATTGTGAAAAGGAAATATCTTCACATCAAAACTACACAGACGCATTCTGAGAAACTTCTTTGTGATGTTTGCTTTCAACTCACAGAATTGAACCTTTTGTTTGAGTAGTTTTGAAACTCTCTTTTTGTAGAATCTAGAAGTGGATATTTAGAACGCTTGGAGGCCTATGGTGCAAAAACGAATAACTTCACACAAAAAATACACAGAAGCATTCTGAGAAACTTCTTTACGATGTCTGCATTCACCTCACAGATTTGAATGTCTCTTTTGATTGAGCAGTTTGGAAGCACTCTTTCGGTAGAATCTGCAAGTGGATATGGAGAGAGCTTTGAGGCCTGTTGTGGAAAACTAAATGTCTTCATATAAAAGCTACACAGAAGCATTCTGAGAAACTCCTTTGTTATGTGTGCATTCATCTCACAGAGTTGAACCTTTCTTTTGATTCGGCAGTTTTGAAACACGGTTTTTGTAGAATCTTCAAGTGGATATTTGGAGCACTTTTCTGCCTATTGTGTAAAAGGAAATATCTTTACGTAAGAACTACACAGAAGCATTCTGAGAAACTTCTTTGTGATGTTCTTAACTCACAGCGTTAAACTTACCTTTGGTAGAGCAGTTTTGAAACTCTCTTTTTGTGGAAAATGTAAGTGGGTATTTAGAGCCATTTGTGGCCTATGGTGGAAAGGAAAATATACTTCACATAAAAACTACACAGAAGCATTCTGAGAAAACTACCTTTTGATGTGTGTATTTGTCTCAGACTGGAACCTTCCTTTTGATTGAGCAGTTCTGAAACACTCTTTTTGTAGAATCTGGAAGTGCATATTTGGAGTGCTTTGAGGCCTATGGTGGAAAAAGAAATATCTTCATTTAAAAACTACACAGAAGCATTCTGAGAAACTTCTTTGTGATGTGTGTATTCATACCACAGAGTCGAAACTATCGTTTGAGAGAGCATTTCGAAACTTTCTTTTTGTAGGATCTGCAAGTGGATATTTGGAGGGCTTTCAGGCCTATGGTGGAAAAGGAAATATCTTCACATAAACACTACTCAGAAGCATTCTGAGAAACTTCTTCACGATGGTTGCACTAAACTCTCAGAGTTGAACTTATCTTTTGATAGAGCAGTTTTGAAACTCTGTGTTACTAGAATCTGCATGTGGTTATTTGGAGTCCTTTGTGGCCGATGGTGGAAAAGGAAATATCTTCCCCTAAAAAGTACACAGAAGCATTCTGAGAAACTTTTTTGACATGTGTGCACTAATCTCACAGAGTTTAATCTATCATTTGATTGAGCAGTTTTAAAAAACTTTTTTTGTGGAATCTGCAATTGGATATTTGGAACGCTTTGAGGCCTATTGTGGAAAAGGCAATATCTTCACATAAAAACTACACAGAAACATTCCGAGAAACTTCTCTGTGATGTGTGCACTCATCTCACGGAGTTGAACCTTTCTTTGATTGACAAGTTTTGAAAGACTATGTTTCTATAATGTGCAAGTGGATATTTGGAGTGCTTTGAGGCATATGGTGGAAAAGGAAATATATTCACATAAAACTATACAGAAGCGTTCCCAGAAACTTATTTGTGATGTGCTTATTCAACTCGCAGAGTTGACCCTATCTTTTGATACAGCAGTTTTGAAACTCTCTTTTTGTAGAATCTGCAAGTGGATATTTGCAGCGCTTTGAGGCCTGCGGTGGAAAAGGAAATATCTTCACATAAAAACTACACAGAAGCATTCTCAGTAACTTCTTTGTAATGTGTGCATTCACCTCACAGACTTGAAACTTCCTCTTGATTGAGCAGCTTGGAAACACACTTTTAGTGAAATCTGCAAGTGGATATTTGGAGCACCTTGAGGCCTGTTGTGGAAAAGGAAATATCTTCACATAAAAACTACACAGAAAGCATTCCAATAAACTTGTTTGTGATATGTACCTTCAACTGACAGATTTGAACCTTTCTTTTGATTAAATAGTTTTGAAAATCTCTTTTTGTAGAATCTGCAAGTGGATATTTGGAGTGCTTTGAGGCCTATGGTGGAAAAGGAAATATCTTTACATAAAAACTACACAGAAGCATTCTGAGAAACTACTTTGTGATGTGTGCATTCATATCACATAGTTGAACCTATCTTTTGATAGAGCACTTTTGAAACTCTCTTTTTGTAGAATCTGCAAGTGGATATTTGGAGCCCTTTGCAGCCTATGGTGGAAAAGGAAACATCTTCACATAAAAACTACACAGAAGCATTCTCAGAAACTACTTTGTGATGTGTGCGTTCAGCTCACAGACTTGAAACTTCCTCTTGATTGAGCAGTTTGGAAACACTCTTTAGTAAAATCTGCAAGTGGATATTCGGAGCACTTTGAGGCCTGTTGTGGAGAAGGAAATATCTTCACATAAAAACTACACAGACGCATTCCGAGAAACTTGTTTGTGATATGTGCATTCAACTGACAGAGTTGAACCTTTCTTTTGATTGACTAGTTTTGAAAATCTCTTTTTGTAGAATCTGCAAGTGGATATTTGGAGTGCTTTGAGGCCTATGGTGGAAAAGGAAATATCTTCATATGAAAACTACACAGAAGCATTCTGAGAAAATTCTTTGTGATGTGTGCATTCAAACCACAGACTTGAACTGATCTTTTGATAGAGCAGTTTTTAAAGTGTCTTTCTGTAGAATCTGCAAGTGGTTACTTGGAGACCTTTGTGGAAGATGGTGGAAAAGGAAATATCTTCCCGTAAAAACTACACAGATGCATTCTGAGAAACTTCTTTGTGATGTGTGCATTCATCTCACAGAGTTCAACCTATCTTTTCGTAGAGCAGTTTTGAAACTCTCTTTTCCTAGAATCTGTAAGTTGATATTTGGAGCCCTTTGCGGCCTATTGTGGAAAAGGAAATAACTTCACATGAAAACTACACAGAAGCTGAGAAACTTCTTTGTGATGTGTGCATTAATTTCCCAGAGTCGAACCTTTCTTTTGATTGAGCAGTTTTGAAACACTCTTTTTGTAGAATCTGCAAGTGGACATTTGAAGCACTTTGAGGCCTATTGTTGAAAAGGAAACATCTTCATATAAAAACAACAAGGAAAGCATTCTGAGAAACCATTTTGTGCTGTGTGCATTCACCTCACAGAGTTCAACTTTATTTGATACAGCAGTTTTGAAACACTCTTCTTGTGGAATCTGCAAGTGGAAATTGGGAAATATTTAGGCATATGGTGGAAAAGGAAACATCCGCACATAAAAACTACACAGACACATTCTGTGAAACTTCTTTGTGCTGTGTGCATTCAAACCACAGAGTTGAACCTATCTTTTGAATGAGCAGTTTTGAAACTCTCTTTTCATAGTATCTGCAAGTGGATATTTGGAGCCTTTTGTGGCCTACGGTGGGAAAGGAAATATCTTCATATAAAAACTACACAGAAGCATTCTGAGAAACTTCTCAGTGATGTGAGCATTCTTCTCACAGAGTTGAACTATCTTTTGATTGAGCAGTTTTGAAACACTGTTTTTTTTAGAATCTGCAAGTGAATATTTGGAGCCTTTTGGGTCTTATTGTGGAAAAGGAAATATCTTCACATAAAAACTACACAGAAGCATTCTGAGAAACTTCTCAGTGATGTGAGCATTCTTCTCACAGAGTTGAACTATCTTTTGATTGAGCAGTTTTGAAACACTGTTTTTTTTAGAATCTGCAAGTGAATATTTGGAGCCTTTTGGGTCTTATTGTGGAAAAGGAAATATCTTCACATAAAAACTACACAGAAGCATTCTGAGAAACTTCTTTGTCATGTGTGGATTCATCTCACAGAGTTAAATCTTTCTTTTGATTGAGCAGTTTGCAAACACTCTTTTTGTGGTATCTCCAGGAGGATATTTGGAGTGCTTTGAGGCCTATGTTGGAAAAGGAAGTATCTTCCCTTAAAAGCTATGCAGAAGCATTCTGAGAAACTTCCTTCTGATGTGTGCATTCATCTCACCTAGTTGAACCTTTCTTTTGGTTGTGCACTTTTGAAACACTCTTTTTGTGGAATCTGCAAGTGGATATCTGGATCACTTTGACGTCTATTGTGGAAAAGGAAATATCTTCACATAAAAACTACACAGAAGAATTCCGACATAGTTCTTTGTGATGTGTGCATTCAACTCACATAGTTGAAACCATCTCTTGATCGAGTAGTTTTGAACCTCTCTTGTTGTAGAATCTGAAAGTGGATATTTGTGTCCCCTGGCGGTCTATGGTGGAAAAGAAATATCTTCACAAAAATACTACACAGAAGCATTCTGAGAAACTTCTTTGTGATGTGTCCATTCATCTCACAGAGTTGAACCTTTCTTTTGATTGAGCAGTTTTGAAATACTCCTTTTGTAGAATCTGCAAGTGGATATTTTGAGTGCTTTGAGAACTATTGTGGAAAAGGAATTATCTTCTCATAAAACCTACACTGAAGGATTCTGAGAAATTTCTTGTGATGTGTGCATTCATCTCACAGAGTTGAACATTTCCTATGATTGAGCAGTTTGGAAATATTCTTTTCATAGAATCTGGAAGTGGATATTTGGAGCCCTTTGAGGCCTATTGTGGAAAAGGAAATATCTTCACATAAAAACTACAGAGAAGCATTCTGAGAAACTTCTTTGTGATGTGTGCATTCATCAAACAGAATTGAACATTTCTTTTTTTGTGCAGTTTTGAAACAATCTTCTTGTAGTATCTGCAAGTGGATATTTGGAGCGTTTTAAGACCTAAGGTGGGAAAGGAAATATCTTCACATAAAAATTACACAGAGAGATTCTGAGAAACTTCTTTGTGATGTGTGCATTCATCTCATATATTTGAACCTTTCTTTTCATTGTGCAGTTTCCAAGCAATCTTTTTCTAGAATATGTAAGTGGATATTTGGAGCACTTTGTGGACTATGGAGGGAAAAGAAATGTCTTCACATAAAAACTACACAGAAGCATTGGGAGAAAATTCTTGTGATATTTGTGTTCAACCCACAAAGTTGAACATATTGTTTGATAGAGCAGTTGTGAAACTCTCTTTTTGTAGAATCTGCAAGTGGGTATTTGGAGCCCTTTGTGGCCCATGGTAGAAAAGGAACTATCTTCACAGAAAAACTACCCAGAAGCATTTTGAGAAACTCCTTTGTGATTTGTGCACTCATCTCACGGTGTTGAAACTTTATTTTTATTGAGCAATTTTGAACATTCCTTTTTATAGAATCTACAAGTGGATATTTGGAGTGGTTTGAGACCTATGGTAGAAAAAGAACTATCTTCACCGAAAAACCACACAGAAGCATTTTGAGAAGCTTCTTTTTGATGTATGCATTCAACTCACAGAGACGAACTGATCTTTTGATAGAGCAGTTTTGAAACTCACTTTTGTAGAATCTGCAGGTGGATATTTGGAGTACATTGCGGCCTATGGTGAAAAAGGAACTATTCTTCGCATGAGAACCAGGCAGAAACATTCTGAGAAACTAGTTTGTGATGTGTGCATTCATCTCACAGAGTTGAAATCATTTTTTGATTTGAGTAGTTTGGAAACACTCTTTTTGTGGAATCTCTAAGGGCATATTTGAAGCGTTTTGCACGCTGTTGTGGAAAAGGAAATATCTTCACATAAAAACTACACAGAAGCATTCTGAGAAACTACTTTGTGATGTGGGCATTCATGTCACGGTTTTGAACCTTCCATTTGATTGAGCAGTTTTGAAATACTCGTTTGGTAGAATGTACAAGTGAATATTTGGAGCACTTTGAGGCCTATGATAGAAACGGAAATATGTTTACATAAAAACTACACAGAAGCATGCTGAGAAACCTCTTTGTGATGTGTGTATTCACCTCCGGGAGTTCAACCTATCATTTGACAGAGCGGTTTTGAAACTCTTTTTGTAGAATCTCCAAGTGGATATTTGGAGCCCTTTGCATTCTACTGTGAAAAGGAAATATCTTCACATCAAAACTACACAGAACGCATTCTGAGAAACTTCTTTGTGATGTTTGCTTTCAACTCACAGAATTGAACCTTTTGTTTGAGTAGTTTTGAAACTCTCTTTTTGTAGAATCTAGAAGTGGATATTTAGAACGCTTGGAGGCCTATGGTGCAAAAACGAATAACTTCACACAAAAAATACACAGAAGCATTCTGAGAAACTTCTTTACGATGTCTGCATTCACCTCACAGATTTGAATGTCTCTTTTGATTGAGCAGTTTGGAAGCACTCTTTCGGTAGAATCTGCAAGTGGATATGGAGAGAGCTTTGAGGCCTGTTGTGGAAAACTAAATGTCTTCATATAAAAGCTACACAGAAGCATTCTGAGAAACTCCTTTGTTATGTGTGCATTCATCTCACAGAGTTGAACCTTTCTTTTGATTCGGCAGTTTTGAAACACGGTTTCTGTAGAATCTTCAAGTGGATATTTGGAGCACTTTTCTGCCTATTGTGTAAAAGGAAATATCTTTACGTAAGAACTACACAGAAGCATTCTGAGAAACTTCTTTGTGATGTTCTTAACTCACAGCGTTAAACTTACCTTTGGTAGAGCAGTTTTGAAACTCTCTTTTTGTGGAAAATGTAAGTGGGTATTTAGAGCCATTTGTGGCCTATGGTGGAAAGGAAAATATCTTCACATAAAAACTACACAGAAGCATTCTGAGAAACTACCTTTTGATGTGTGTATTTGTCTCAGACTGGAACCTTCCTTTTGATTGAGCAGTTCTGAAACACTCTTTTTGTAGAATCTGGAAGTGCATATTTGGAGTGCTTTGAGGCCTATGGTGGAAAAAGAAATATCTTCATTTAAAAACTACACAGAAGCATTCTGAGAAACTTCTTTGTGATGTGTGTATTCATACCACAGAGTCGAAACTATCGTTTGAGAGAGCATTTCGAAACTTTCTTTTTGTAGGATCTGCAAGTGGATATTTGGAGGGCTTTCAGGCCTATGGTGGAAAAGGAAATATCTTCACATAAACACTACTCAGAAGCATTCTGAGAAACTTCTTCACGATGGTTGCACTAAACTCTCAGAGTTGAACTTATCTTTTGATAGAGCAGTTTTGAAACTCTGTGTTACTAGAATCTGCATGTGGTTATTTGGAGTCCTTTGTGGCCGATGGTGGAAAAGGAAATATCTTCCCCTAAAAAGTACACAGAAGCATTCTGAGAAACTTTTTTGACATGTGTGCACTAATCTCACAGAGTTTAATCTATCATTTGATTGAGCAGTTTTAAAAAACTTTTTTTGTGGAATCTGCAATTGGATATTTGGAACGCTTTGAGGCCTATTGTGGAAAAGGCAATATCTTCACATAAAAACTACACAGAAACATTCCGAGAAACTTCTCTGTGATGTGTGCACTCATCTCACGGAGTTGAACCTTTCTTTGATTGACAAGTTTTGAAAGACTATGTTTCTATAATGTGCAAGTGGATATTTGGAGTGCTTTGAGGCATATGGTGGAAAAGGAAATATATTCACATAAAACTATACAGAAGCGTTCCCAGAAACTTATTTGTGATGTGCTTATTCAACTCGCAGAGTTGACCCTATCTTTTGATACAGCAGTTTTGAAACTCTCTTTTTGTAGAATCTGCAAGTGGATATTTGCAGCGCTTTGAGGCCTGCGGTGGAAAAGGAAATATCTTCACATAAAAACTACACAGAAGCATTCTCAGTAACTTCTTTGTAATGTGTGCATTCACCTCACAGACTTGAAACTTCCTCTTGATTGAGCAGCTTGGAAACACACTTTTAGTGAAATCTGCAAGTGGATATTTGGAGCACCTTGAGGCCTGTTGTGGAAAAGGAAATATCTTCACATAAAAACTACACAGAAGCATTCCAATAAACTTGTTTGTGATATGTACCTTCAACTGACAGATTTGAACCTTTCTTTTGATTAAATAGTTTTGAAAATCTCTTTTTGTAGAATCTGCAAGTGGATATTTGGAGTGCTTTGAGGCCTATGGTGGAAAAGGAAATATCTTTACATAAAAACTACACAGAAGCATTCTGAGAAACTACTTTGTGATGTGTGCATTCATATCACATAGTTGAACCTATCTTTTGATAGAGCACTTTTGAAACTCTCTTTTTGTAGAATCTGCAAGTGGATATTTGGAGCCCTTTGCAGCCTATGGTGGAAAAGGAAACATCTTCACATAAAAACTACACAGAAGCATTCTCAGAAACTACTTTGTGATGTGTGCGTTCAGCTCACAGACTTGAAACTTCCTCTTGATTGAGCAGTTTGGAAACACTCTTTAGTAAAATCTGCAAGTGGATATTCGGAGCACTTTGAGGCCTGTTGTGGAGAAGGAAATATCTTCACATAAAAACTACACAGACGCATTCCGAGAAAC
The DNA here is from genome assembly GCF_000001405.40 of Homo sapiens. NCBI lineage: Eukaryota > Metazoa > Chordata > Mammalia > Primates > Hominidae > Homo > Homo sapiens. The sequence continues at coordinate 10,376,380 of NC_000024.10, forward strand.
TTGTTTGTGATATGTGCATTCAACTGACAGAGTTGAACCTTTCTTTTGATTGACTAGTTTTGAAAATCTCTTTTTGTAGAATCTGCAAGTGGATATTTGGAGTGCTTTGAGGCCTATGGTGGAAAAGGAAATATCTTCATATGAAAACTACACAGAAGCATTCTGAGAAAATTCTTTGTGATGTGTGCATTCAAACCACAGACTTGAACTGATCTTTTGATAGAGCAGTTTTTAAAGTGTCTTTCTGTAGAATCTGCAAGTGGTTACTTGGAGACCTTTGTGGAAGATGGTGGAAAAGGAAATGTCTTCCCGTAAAAACTACACAGATGCATTCTGAGAAACTTCTTTGTGATGTGTGCATTCATCTCACAGAGTTCAACCTATCTTTTCGTAGAGCAGTTTTGAAACTCTCTTTTCCTAGAATCTGTAAGTTGATATTTGGAGCCCTTTGCGGCCTATTGTGGAAAAGGAAATAACTTCACATGAAAACTACACAGAAGCTGAGAAACTTCTTTGTGATGTGTGCATTAATTTCCCAGAGTCGAACCTTTCTTTTGATTGAGCAGTTTTGAAACACTCTTTTTGTAGAATCTGCAAGTGGACATTTGAAGCACTTTGAGGCCTATTGTTGAAAAGGAAACATCTTCATATAAAAACAACAAGGAAGCATTCTGAGAAACCATTTTGTGCTGTGTGCATTCACCTCACAGAGTTCAACTTTATTTGATACAGCAGTTTTGAAACACTCTTCTTGTAGAATCTGCAAGTGGAAATTGGGAAATATTTAGGCATATGGTGGAAAAGGAAACATCCGCACATAAAAACTACACAGACACATTCTGTGAAACTTCTTTGTGCTGTGTGCATTCAAACCACAGAGTTGAACCTATCTTTTGAATGAGCAGTTTTGAAACTCTCTTTTCATAGTATCTGCAAGTGGATATTTGGAGCCTTTTGTGGCCTACGGTGGGAAAGGAAATATCTTCATATAAAAACTACACAGAAGCATTCTGAGCAAACTTCTCAGTGATGTGAGCATTCTTCTCACAGAGTTGAACTATCTTTTGATTGAGCAGTTTTGAAACACTGTTTTTTTTAGAATCTGCAAGTGAATATTTGGAGCCTTTTGGGTCTTATTGTGGAAAAGGAAATATCTTCACATAAAAACTACACAGAAGCATTCTGAGAAACTTCTTTGTCATGTGTGGATTCATCTCACAGAGTTAAATCTTTCTTTTGATTGAGCAGTTTGCAAACACTCTTTTTGTGGTATCTCCAGGAGGATATTTGGAGTGCTTTGAGGCCTATGTTGGAAAAGGAAGTATCTTCCCTTAAAAGCTATGCAGAAGCATTCTGAGAAACTTCCTTCTGATGTGTGCATTCATCTCACCTAGTTGAACCTTTCTTTTGGTTGTGCACTTTTGAAACACTCTTTTTGTGGAATCTGCAAGTGGATATCTGGATCACTTTGACGTCTATTGTGGAAAAGGAAATATCTTCACATAAATACTACACAGAAGAATTCCGACATAGTTCTTTGTGATGTGTGCATTCAACTCACATAGTTGAAACCATCTCTTGATCGAGTAGTTTTGAACCTCTCTTGTTGTAGAATCTGAAAGTGGATATTTGTGTCCCCTGGCGGTCTATGGTGGAAAAGAAATATCTTCACAAAAATACTACACAGAAGCATTCTGAGAAACTTCTTTGTGATGTGTCCATTCATCTCACAGAGTTGAACCTTTCTTTTGATTGAGCAGTTTTGAAATACTCCTTTTGTAGAATCTGCAAGTGGATATTTTGAGTGCTTTGAGAACTATTGTGGAAAAGGAATTATCTTCTCATAAAACCTACACTGAAGGATTCTGAGAAATTTCTTGTGATGTGTGCATTCATCTCACAGAGTTGAACATTTCCTATGATTGAGCAGTTTGGAAATATTCTTTTCATAGAATCTGGAAGTGGATATTTGGAGCCCTTTGAGGCCTATTGTGGAAAAGGAAATATCTTCACATAAAAACTACAGAGAAGCATTCTGAGAAACTTCTTTGTGATGTGTGCATTCATCAAACAGAATTGAACATTTCTTTTTTTGTGCAGTTTTGAAACAATCTTCTTGTAGTATCTGCAAGTGGATATTTGGAGCGTTTTAAGACCTAAGGTGGGAAAGGAAATATCTTCACATAAAAATTACACAGAGAGATTCTGAGAAACTTCTTTGTGATGTGTGCATTCATCTCATATATTTGAACCTTTCTTTTCATTGTGCAGTTTCCAAGCAATCTTTTTCTAGAATATGTAAGTGGATATTTGGAGCACTTTGTGGACTATGGAGGGAAAAGAAATGTCTTCACATAAAAACTACACAGAAGCATTGGGAGAAAATTCTTGTGATATTTGTGTTCAACCCACAAAGTTGAACATATTGTTTGATAGAGCAGTTGTGAAACTCTCTTTTTGTAGAATCTGCAAGTGGGTATTTGGAGCCCTTTGTGGCCCATGGTAGAAAAGGAACTATCTTCACAGAAAAACTACCCAGAAGCATTTTGAGAAACTCCTTTGTGATTTGTGCACTCATCTCACGGTGTTGAAACTTTATTTTTATTGAGCAATTTTGAACATTCCTTTTTATAGAATCTACAAGTGGATATTTGGAGTGGTTTGAGACCTATGGTAGAAAAAGAACTATCTTCACCGAAAAACCACACAGAAGCATTTTGAGAAGCTTCTTTTTGATGTATGCATTCAACTCACAGAGACGAACTGATCTTTTGATAGAGCAGTTTTGAAACTCACTTTTGTAGAATCTGCAGGTGGATATTTGGAGTACATTGCGGCCTATGGTGAAAAAGGAACTATCTTCGCATGAGAACCAGGCAGAAACATTCTGAGAAACTAGTTTGTGATGTGTGCATTCATCTCACAGAGTTGAAATCATTTTTTGATTTGAGTAGTTTGGAAACACTCTTTTTGTGGAATCTCTAAGGGCATATTTGAAGCGTTTTGCACGCTGTTGTGGAAAAGGAAATATCTTCACATAAAAACTACACAGAAGCATTCTGAGAAACTACTTTGTGATGTGGGCATTCATGTCACGGTTTTGAACCTTCCATTTGATTGAGCAGTTTTGAAATACTCGTTTGGTAGAATGTACAAGTGAATATTTGGAGCACTTTGAGGCCTATGATAGAAACGGAAATATGTTTACATAAAAACTACACAGAAGCATGCTGAGAAACCTCTTTGTGATGTGTGTATTCACCTCCGGGAGTTCAACCTATCATTTGACAGAGCGGTTTTGAAACTCTTTTTGTAGAATCTCCAAGTGGATATTTGGAGCCCTTTGCATTCTACTGTGAAAAGGAAATATCTTCACATCAAAACTACACAGACGCATTCTGAGAAACTTCTTTGTGATGTTTGCTTTCAACTCACAGAATTGAACCTTTTGTTTGAGTAGTTTTGAAACTCTCTTTTTGTAGAATCTAGAAGTGGATATTTAGAACGCTTGGAGGCCTATGGTGCAAAAACGAATAACTTCACACAAAAAATACACAGAAGCATTCTGAGAAACTTCTTTACGATGTCTGCATTCACCTCACAGATTTGAATGTCTCTTTTGATTGAGCAGTTTGGAAGCACTCTTTCGGTAGAATCTGCAAGTGGATATGGAGAGAGCTTTGAGGCCTGTTGTGGAAAACTAAATGTCTTCATATAAAAGCTACACAGAAGCATTCTGAGAAACTCCTTTGTTATGTGTGCATTCATCTCACAGAGTTGAACCTTTCTTTTGATTCGGCAGTTTTGAAACACGGTTTTTGTAGAATCTTCAAGTGGATATTTGGAGCACTTTTCTGCCTATTGTGTAAAAGGAAATATCTTTACGTAAGAACTACACAGAAGCATTCTGAGAAACTTCTTTGTGATGTTCTTAACTCACAGCGTTAAACTTACCTTTGGTAGAGCAGTTTTGAAACTCTCTTTTTGTGGAAAATGTAAGTGGGTATTTAGAGCCATTTGTGGCCTATGGTGGAAAGGAAAATATCTTCACATAAAAACTACACAGAAGCATTCTGAGAAACTACCTTTTGATGTGTGTATTTGTCTCAGACTGGAACCTTCCTTTTGATTGAGCAGTTCTGAAACACTCTTTTTGTAGAATCTGGAAGTGCATATTTGGAGTGCTTTGAGGCCTATGGTGGAAAAAGAAATATCTTCATTTAAAAACTACACAGAAGCATTCTGAGAAACTTCTTTGTGATGTGTGTATTCATACCACAGAGTCGAAACTATCGTTTGAGAGAGCATTTCGAAACTTTCTTTTTGTAGGATCTGCAAGTGGATATTTGGAGGGCTTTCAGGCCTATGGTGGAAAAGGAAATATCTTCACATAAACACTACTCAGAAGCATTCTGAGAAACTTCTTCACGATGGTTGCACTAAACTCTCAGAGTTGAACTTATCTTTTGATAGAGCAGTTTTGAAACTCTGTGTTACTAGAATCTGCATGTGGTTATTTGGAGTCCTTTGTGGCCGATGGTGGAAAAGGAAATATCTTCCCCTAAAAAGTACACAGAAGCATTCTGAGAAACTTTTTTGACATGTGTGCACTAATCTCACAGAGTTTAATCTATCATTTGATTGAGCAGTTTTAAAAAACTTTTTTTGTGGAATCTGCAATTGGATATTTGGAACGCTTTGAGGCCTATTGTGGAAAAGGCAATATCTTCACATAAAAACTACACAGAAACATTCCGAGAAACTTCTCTGTGATGTGTGCACTCATCTCACGGAGTTGAACCTTTCTTTGATTGACAAGTTTTGAAAGACTATGTTTCTATAATGTGCAAGTGGATATTTGGAGTGCTTTGAGGCATATGGTGGAAAAGGAAATATATTCACATAAAACTATACAGAAGCGTTCCCAGAAACTTATTTGTGATGTGCTTATTCAACTCGCAGAGTTGACCCTATCTTTTGATACAGCAGTTTTGAAACTCTCTTTTTGTAGAATCTGCAAGTGGATATTTGCAGCGCTTTGAGGCCTGCGGTGGAAAAGGAAATATCTTCACATAAAAACTACACAGAAGCATTCTCAGTAACTTCTTTGTAATGTGTGCATTCACCTCACAGACTTGAAACTTCCTCTTGATTGAGCAGCTTGGAAACACACTTTTAGTGAAATCTGCAAGTGGATATTTGGAGCACCTTGAGGCCTGTTGTGGAAAAGGAAATATCTTCACATAAAAACTACACAGAAGCATTCCAATAAACTTGTTTGTGATATGTACCTTCAACTGACAGATTTGAACCTTTCTTTTGATTAAATAGTTTTGAAAATCTCTTTTTGTAGAATCTGCAAGTGGATATTTGGAGTGCTTTGAGGCCTATGGTGGAAAAGGAAATATCTTTACATAAAAACTACACAGAAGCATTCTGAGAAACTACTTTGTGATGTGTGCATTCATATCACATAGTTGAACCTATCTTTTGATAGAGCACTTTTGAAACTCTCTTTTTGTAGAATCTGCAAGTGGATATTTGGAGCCCTTTGCAGCCTATGGTGGAAAAGGAAACATCTTCACATAAAAACTACACAGAAGCATTCTCAGAAACTACTTTGTGATGTGTGCGTTCAGCTCACAGACTTGAAACTTCCTCTTGATTGAGCAGTTTGGAAACACTCTTTAGTAAAATCTGCAAGTGGATATTCGGAGCACTTTGAGGCCTGTTGTGGAGAAGGAAATATCTTCACATAAAAACTACACAGACGCATTCCGAGAAACTTGTTTGTGATATGTGCATTCAACTGACAGAGTTGAACCTTTCTTTTGATTGACTAGTTTTGAAAATCTCTTTTTGTAGAATCTGCAAGTGGATATTTGGAGTGCTTTGAGGCCTATGGTGGAAAAGGAAATATCTTCATATGAAAACTACACAGAAGCATTCTGAGAAAATTCTTTGTGATGTGTGCATTCAAACCACAGACTTGAACTGATCTTTTGATAGAGCAGTTTTTAAAGTGTCTTTCTGTAGAATCTGCAAGTGGTTACTTGGAGACCTTTGTGGAAGATGGTGGAAAAGGAAATATCTTCCCGTAAAAACTACACAGATGCATTCTGAGAAACTTCTTTGTGATGTGTGCATTCATCTCACAGAGTTCAACCTATCTTTTCGTAGAGCAGTTTTGAAACTCTCTTTTCCTAGAATCTGTAAGTTGATATTTGGAGCCCTTTGCGGCCTATTGTGGAAAAGGAAATAACTTCACATGAAAACTACACAGAAGCTGAGAAACTTCTTTGTGATGTGTGCATTAATTTCCCAGAGTCGAACCTTTCTTTTGATTGAGCAGTTTTGAAACACTCTTTTTGTAGAATCTGCAAGTGGACATTTGAAGCACTTTGAGGCCTATTGTTGAAAAGGAAACATCTTCATATAAAAACAACAAGGAAGCATTCTGAGAAACCATTTTGTGCTGTGTGCATTCACCTCACAGAGTTCAACTTTATTTGATACAGCAGTTTTGAAACACTCTTCTTGTGGAATCTGCAAGTGGAAATTGGGAAATATTTAGGCATATGGTGGAAAAGGAAACATCCGCACATAAAAACTACACAGACACATTCTGTGAAACTTCTTTGTGCTGTGTGCATTCAAACCACAGAGTTGAACCTATCTTTTGAATGAGCACTTTTGAAACTCTCTTTTCATAGTATCTGCAAGTGGATATTTGGAGCCTTTTGTGGCCTACGGTGGGAAAGGAAATATCTTCATATAAAAACTACACAGAAGCATTCTGAGAAACTTCTCAGTGATGTGAGCATTCTTCTCACAGAGTTGAACTATCTTTTGATTGAGCAGTTTTGAAACACTGTTTTTTTTAGAATCTGCAAGTGAATATTTGGAGCCTTTTGGGTCTTATTGTGGAAAAGGAAATATCTTCACATAAAAACTACACAGAAGCATTCTGAGAAACTTCTTTGTCATGTGTGGATTCATCTCACAGAGTTAAATCTTTCTTTTGATTGAGCAGTTTGCAAACACTCTTTTTGTGGTATCTCCAGGAGGATATTTGGAGTGCTTTGAGGCCTATGTTGGAAAAGGAAGTATCTTCCCTTAAAAGCTATGCAGAAGCATTCTGAGAAACTTCCTTCTGATGTGTGCATTCATCTCACCTAGTTGAACCTTTCTTTTGGTTGTGCACTTTTGAAACACTCTTTTTGTGGAATCTGCAAGTGGATATCTGGATCACTTTGACGTCTATTGTGGAAAAGGAAATATCTTCACATAAAAACTACACAGAAGAATTCCGACATAGTTCTTTGTGATGTGTGCATTCAACTCACATAGTTGAAACCATCTCTTGATCGAGTAGTTTTGAACCTCTCTTGTTGTAGAATCTGAAAGTGGATATTTGTGTCCCCTGGCGGTCTATGGTGGAAAAGAAATATCTTCACAAAAATACTACACAGAAGCATTCTGAGAAACTTCTTTGTGATGTGTCCATTCATCTCACAGAGTTGAACCTTTCTTTTGATTGAGCAGTTTTGAAATACTCCTTTTGTAGAATCTGCAAGTGGATATTTTGAGTGCTTTGAGAACTATTGTGGAAAAGGAATTATCTTCTCATAAAACCTACACTGAAGTATTCTGAGAAATTTCTTGTGATGTGTGCATTCATCTCACAGAGTTGAACATTTCCTATGATTGAGCAGTTTGGAAATATTCTTTTCATAGAATCTGGAAGTGGATATTTGGAGCCCTTTGAGGCCTATTGTGGAAAAGGAAATATCTTCACATAAAAACTACAGAGAAGCATTCTGAGAAACTTCTTTGTGATGTGTGCATTCATCAAACAGAATTGAACATTTCTTTTTTTGTGCAGTTTTGAAGCAATCTTCTTGTAGTATCTGCAAGTGGATATTTGGAGCGTTTTAAGACCTAAGGTGGGAAAGGAAATATCTTCACATAAAAATTACACAGAGAGATTCTGAGAAACTTCTTTGTGATGTGTGCATTCATCTCATATATTTGAACCTTTCTTTTCATTGTGCAGTTTCCAAGCAATCTTTTTCTAGAATATGTAAGTGGATATTTGGAGCACTTTGTGGACTATGGAGGGAAAAGAAATGTCTTCACATAAAAACTACACAGAAGCATTGGGAGAAAATTCTTGTGATATTTGTGTTCAACCCACAAAGTTGAACATATTGTTTGATAGAGCAGTTGTGAAACTCTCTTTTTGTAGAATCTGCAAGTGGGTATTTGGAGCCCTTTGTGGCCCATGGTAGAAAAGGAACTATCTTCACAGAAAAACTACCCAGAAGCATTTTGAGAAACTCCTTTGTGATTTGTGCACTCATCTCACGGTGTTGAAACTTTATTTTTATTGAGCAATTTTGAACATTCCTTTTTATAGAATCTACAAGTGGATATTTGGAGTGGTTTGAGACCTATGGTAGAAAAAGAACTATCTTCACCGAAAAACCACACAGAAGCATTTTGAGAAGCTTCTTTTTGATGTATGCATTCAACTCACAGAGACGAACTGATCTTTTGATAGAGCAGTTTTGAAACTCACTTTTGTAGAATCTGCAGGTGGATATTTGGAGTACATTGCGGCCTATGGTGAAAAAGGAACTATCTTCGCATGAGAACCAGGCAGAAACATTCTGAGAAACTAGTTTGTGATGTGTGCATTCATCTCACAGAGTTGAAATCATTTTTTGATTTGAGTAGTTTGGAAACACTCTTTTTGTGGAATCTCTAAGGGCATATTTGAAGCGTTTTGCACGCTGTTGTGGAAAAGGAAATATCTTCACATAAAAACTACACAGAAGCATTCTGAGAAACTACTTTGTGATGTGGGCATTCATGTCACAGTTTTGAACCTTCCATTTGATTGAGCAGTTTTGAAATACTCGTTTGGTAGAATGTACAAGTGAATATTTGGAGCACTTTGAGGCCTATGATAGAAACGGAAATATGTTTACATAAAAACTACACAGAAGCATGCTGAGAAACCTCTTTGTGATGTGTGTATTCACCTCCGGGAGTTCAACCTATCATTTGACAGAGCGGTTTTGAAACTCTTTTTGTAGAATCTCCAAGTGGATATTTGGAGCCCTTTGCATTCTATTGTGAAAAGGAAATATCTTCACATCAAAACTACACAGACGCATTCTGAGAAACTTCTTTGTGATGTTTGCTTTCAACTCACAGAATTGAACCTTTTGTTTGAGTAGTTTTGAAACTCTCTTTTTGTAGAATCTAGAAGTGGATATTTAGAACGCTTGGAGGCCTATGGTGCAAAAACGAATAACTTCACACAAAAAATACACAGAAGCATTCTGAGAAACTTCTTTACGATGTCTGCATTCACCTCACAGATTTGAATGTCTCTTTTGATTGAGCAGTTTGGAAGCACTCTTTCGGTAGAATCTGCAAGTGGATATGGAGAGAGCTTTGAGGCCTGTTGTGGAAAACTAAATGTCTTCATATAAAAGCTACACAGAAGCATTCTGAGAAACTCCTTTGTTATGTGTGCATTCATCTCACAGAGTTGAACCTTTCTTTTGATTCGGCAGTTTTGAAACACGGTTTCTGTAGAATCTTCAAGTGGATATTTGGAGCACTTTTCTGCCTATTGTGTAAAAGGAAATATCTTTACGTAAGAACTACACAGAAGCATTCTGAGAAACTTCTTTGTGATGTTCTTAACTCACAGCGTTAAACTTACCTTTGGTAGAGCAGTTTTGAAACTCTCTTTTTGTGGAAAATGTAAGTGGGTATTTAGAGCCATTTGTGGCCTATGGTGGAAAGGAAAATATCTTCACATAAAAACTACACAGAAGCATTCTGAGAAACTACCTTTTGATGTGTGTATTTGTCTCAGACTGGAACCTTCCTTTTGATTGAGCAGTTCTGAAACACTCTTTTTGTAGAATCTGGAAGTGCATATTTGGAGTGCTTTGAGGCCTATGGTGGAAAAAGAAATATCTTCATTTAAAAACTACACAGAAGCATTCTGAGAAACTTCTTTGTGATGTGTGTATTCATACCACAGAGTCGAAACTATCGTTTGAGAGAGCATTTCGAAACTTTCTTTTTGTAGGATCTGCAAGTGGATATTTGGAGGGCTTTCAGGCCTATGGTGGAAAAGGAAATATCTTCACATAAACACTACTCAGAAGCATTCTGAGAAACTTCTTCACGATGGTTGCACTAAACTCTCAGAGTTGAACTTATCTTTTGATAGAGCAGTTTTGAAACTCTGTGTTACTAGAATCTGCATGTGGTTATTTGGAGTCCTTTGTGGCCGATGGTGGAAAAGGAAATATCTTCCCCTAAAAAGTACACAGAAGCATTCTGAGAAACTTTTTTGACATGTGTGCACTAATCTCACAGAGTTTAATCTATCATTTGATTGAGCAGTTTTAAAAAACTTTTTTTGTGGAATCTGCAATTGGATATTTGGAACGCTTTGAGGCCTATTGTGGAAAAGGCAATATCTTCACATAAAAACTACACAGAAACATTCCGAGAAACTTCTCTGTGATGTGTGCACTCATCTCACGGAGTTGAACCTTTCTTTGATTGACAAGTTTTGAAAGACTATGTTTCTATAATGTGCAAGTGGATATTTGGAGTGCTTTGAGGCATATGGTGGAAAAGGAAATATATTCACATAAAACTATACAGAAGCGTTCCCAGAAACTTATTTGTGATGTGTTTATTCAACTCGCAGAGTTGACCCTATCTTTTGATACAGCAGTTTTGAAACTCTCTTTTTGTAGAATCTGCAAGTGGATATTTGCAGCGCTTTGAGGCCTGCGGTGGAAAAGGAAATATCTTCACATAAAAACTACACAGAAGCATTCTCAGTAACTTCTTTGTAATGTGTGCATTCACCTCACAGACTTGAAACTTCCTCTTGATTGAGCAGTTTGGAAACACACTTTTAGTGAAATCTGCAAGTGGATATTTGGAGCACCTTGAGGCCTGTTGTGGAAAAGGAAATATCTTCACATAAAAACTACACAGAAGCATTCCAATAAACTTGTTTGTGATATGTACCTTCAACTGACAGATTTGAACCTTTCTTTTGATTAAATAGTTTTGAACATCTCTTTTTGTAGAATCTGCAAGTGGATATTTGGAGTGCTTTGAGGCCTATGGTGGAAAAGGAAATATCTTTACATAAAAACTACACAGAAGCATTCTGAGAAACTACTTTGTGATGTGTGCATTCATATCACATAGTTGAACCTATCTTTTGATAGAGCACTTTTGAAACTCTCTTTTTGTAGAATCTGCAAGTGGATATTTGGAGCCCTTTGCAGCCTATGGTGGAAAAGGAAACATCTTCACATAAAAACTACACAGAAGCATTCTCAGAAACTACTTTGTGATGTGTGCGTTCAGCTCACAGACTTGAAACTTCCTCTTGATTGAGCAGTTTGGAAACACTCTTTAGTAAAATCTGCAAGTGGATATTCGGAGCACTTTGAGGCCTGTTGTGGAGAAGGAAATATCTTCACATAAAAACTACACAGACGCATTCCGAGAAACTTGTTTGTGATATGTGCATTCAACTGACAGAGTTGAACCTTTCTTTTGATTGACTAGTTTTGAAAATCTCTTTTTGTAGAATCTGCAAGTGGATATTTGGAGTGCTTTGAGGCCTATGGTGGAAAAGGAAATATCTTCATATGAAAACTACACAGAAGCATTCTGAGAAAATTCTTTGTGATGTGTGCATTCAAACCACAGACTTGAACTGATCTTTTGATAGAGCAGTTTTTAAAGTGTCTTTCTGTAGAATCTGCAAGTGGTTACTTGGAGACCTTTGTGGAAGATGGTGGAAAAGGAAATGTCTTCCCGTAAAAACTACACAGATGCATTCTGAGAAACTTCTTTGTGATGTGTGCATTCATCTCACAGAGTTCAACCTATCTTTTCGTAGAGCAGTTTTGAAACTCTCTTTTCCTAGAATCTGTAAGTTGATATTTGGAGCCCTTTGCGGCCTATTGTGGAAAAGGAAATAACTTCACATGAAAACTACACAGAAGCTGAGAAACTTCTTTGTGATGTGTGCATTAATTTCCCAGAGTCGAACCTTTCTTTTGATTGAGCAGTTTTGAAACACTCTTTTTGTAGAATCTGCAAGTGGACATTTGAAGCACTTTGAGGCCTATTGTTGAAAAGGAAACATCTTCATATAAAAACAACAAGGAAGCATTCTGAGAAACCATTTTGTGCTGTGTGCATTCACCTCACAGAGTTCAACTTTATTTGATACAGCAGTTTTGAAACACTCTTCTTGTAGAATCTGCAAGTGGAAATTGGGAAATATTTAGGCATATGGTGGAAAAGGAAACATCCGCACATAAAAACTACACAGACACATTCTGTGAAACTTCTTTGTGCTGTGTGCATTCAAACCACAGAGTTGAACCTATCTTTTGAATGAGCAGTTTTGAAACTCTCTTTTCATAGTATCTGCAAGTGGATATTTGGAGCCTTTTGTGGCCTACGGTGGGAAAGGAAATATCTTCATATAAAAACTACACAGAAGCATTCTGAGAAACTTCTCAGTGATGTGAGCATTCTTCTCACAGAGTTGAACTATCTTTTGATTGAGCAGTTTTGAAACACTGTTTTTTTTTAGAATCTGCAAGTGAATATTTGGAGCCTTTTGGGTCTTATTGTGGAAAAGGAAATATCTTCACATAAAAACTACACAGAAGCATTCTGAGAAACTTCTTTGTCATGTGTGGATTCATCTCACAGAGTTAAATCTTTCTTTTGATTGAGCAGTTTGCAAACACTCTTTTTGTGGTATCTCCAGGAGGATATTTGGAGTGCTTTGAGGCCTATGTTGGAAAAGGAAGTATCTTCCCTTAAAAGCTATGCAGAAGCATTCTGAGAAACTTCCTTCTGATGTGTGCATTCATCTCACCTAGTTGAACCTTTCTTTTGGTTGTGCACTTTTGAAACACTCTTTTTGTGGAATCTGCAAGTGGATATCTGGATCACTTTGACGTCTATTGTGGAAAAGGAAATATCTTCACATAAAAACTACACAGAAGAATTCCGACATAGTTCTTTGTGATGTGTGCATTCAACTCACATAGTTGAAACCATCTCTTGATCGAGTAGTTTTGAACCTCTCTTGTTGTAGAATCTGAAAGTGGATATTTGTGTCCCCTGGCGGTCTATGGTGGAAAAGAAATATCTTCACAAAAATACTACACAGAAGCATTCTGAGAAACTTCTTTGTGATGTGTCCATTCATCTCACAGAGTTGAACCTTTCTTTTGATTGAGCAGTTTTGAAATACTCCTTTTGTAGAATCTGCAAGTGGATATTTTGAGTGCTTTGAGAACTATTGTGGAAAAGGAATTATCTTCTCATAAAACCTACACTGAAGTATTCTGAGAAATTTCTTGTGATGTGTGCATTCATCTCACAGAGTTGAACATTTCCTATGATTGAGCAGTTTGGAAATATTCTTTTCATAGAATCTGGAAGTGGATATTTGGAGCCCTTTGAGGCCTATTGTGGAAAAGGAAATATCTTCACATAAAAACTACAGAGAAGCATTCTGAGAAACTTCTTTGTGATGTGTGCATTCATCAAACAGAATTGAACATTTCTTTTTTTGTGCAGTTTTGAAGCAATCTTCTTGTAGTATCTGCAAGTGGATATTTGGAGCGTTTTAAGACCTAAGGTGGGAAAGGAAATATCTTCACATAAAAATTACACAGAGAGATTCTGAGAAACTTCTTTGTGATGTGTGCATTCATCTCATATATTTGAACCTTTCTTTTCATTGTGCAGTTTCCAAGCAATCTTTTTCTAGAATATGTAAGTGGATATTTGGAGCACTTTGTGGACTATGGAGGGAAAAGAAATGTCTTCACATAAAAACTACACAGAAGCATTGGGAGAAAATTCTTGTGATATTTGTGTTCAACCCACAAAGTTGAACATATTGTTTGATAGAGCAGTTGTGAAACTCTCTTTTTGTAGAATCTGCAAGTGGGTATTTGGAGCCCTTTGTGGCCCATGGTAGAAAAGGAACTATCTTCACAGAAAAACTACCCAGAAGCATTTTGAGAAACTCCTTTGTGATTTGTGCACTCATCTCACGGTGTTGAAACTTTATTTTTATTGAGCAATTTTGAACATTCCTTTTTATAGAATCTACAAGTGGATATTTGGAGTGGTTTGAGACCTATGGTAGAAAAAGAACTATCTTCACCGAAAAACCACACAGAAGCATTTTGAGAAGCTTCTTTTTGATGTATGCATTCAACTCACAGAGACGAACTGATCTTTTGATAGAGCAGTTTTGAAACTCACTTTTGTAGAATCTGCAGGTGGATATTTGGAGTACATTGCGGCCTATGGTGAAAAAGGACTATCTTCGCATGAGAACCAGGCAGAAACATTCTGAGAAACTAGTTTGTGATGTGTGCATTCATCTCACAGAGTTGAAATCATTTTTTGATTTGAGTAGTTTGGAAACACTCTTTTTGTGGAATCTCTAAGGGCATATTTGAAGCGTTTTGCACGCTGTTGTGGAAAAGGAAATATCTTCACATAAAAACTACACAGAAGCATTCTGAGAAACTACTTTGTGATGTGGGCATTCATGTCACGGTTTTGAACCTTCCATTTGATTGAGCAGTTTTGAAATACTCGTTTGGTAGAATGTACAAGTGAATATTTGGAGCACTTTGAGGCCTATGATAGAAACGGAAATATGTTTACATAAAAACTACACAGAAGCATGCTGAGAAACCTCTTTGTGATGTGTGTATTCACCTCCGGGAGTTCAACCTATCATTTGACAGAGCGGTTTTGAAACTCTTTTTGTAGAATCTCCAAGTGGATATTTGGAGCCCTTTGCATTCTACTGTGAAAAGGAAATATCTTCACATCAAAACTACACAGACGCATTCTGAGAAACTTCTTTGTGATGTTTGCTTTCAACTCACAGAATTGAACCTTTTGTTTGAGTAGTTTTGAAACTCTCTTTTTGTAGAATCTAGAAGTGGATATTTAGAACGCTTGGAGGCCTATGGTGCAAAAACGAATAACTTCACACAAAAAATACACAGAAAGCATTCTGAGAAACTTCTTTACGATGTCTGCATTCACCTCACAGATTTGAATGTCTCTTTTGATTGAGCAGTTTGGAAGCACTCTTTCGGTAGAATCTGCAAGTGGATATGGAGAGAGCTTTGAGGCCTGTTGTGGAAAACTAAATGTCTTCATATAAAAGCTACACAGAAGCATTCTGAGAAACTCCTTTGTTATGTGTGCATTCATCTCACAGAGTTGAACCTTTCTTTTGATTCGGCAGTTTTGAAACACGGTTTCTGTAGAATCTTCAAGTGGATATTTGGAGCACTTTTCTGCCTATTGTGTAAAAGGAAATATCTTTACGTAAGAACTACACAGAAGCATTCTGAGAAACTTCTTTGTGATGTTCTTAACTCACAGCGTTAAACTTACCTTTGGTAGAGCAGTTTTGAAACTCTCTTTTTGTGGAAAATGTAAGTGGGTATTTAGAGCCATTTGTGGCCTATGGTGGAAAGGAAAATATCTTCACATAAAAACTACACAGAAGCATTCTGAGAAACTACCTTTTGATGTGTGTATTTGTCTCAGACTGGAACCTTCCTTTTGATTGAGCAGTTCTGAAACACTCTTTTTGTAGAATCTGGAAGTGCATATTTGGAGTGCTTTGAGGCCTATGGTGGAAAAAGAAATATCTTCATTTAAAAACTACACAGAAGCATTCTGAGAAACTTCTTTGTGATGTGTGTGTGTATTCATACCACAGAGTCGAAACTATCGTTTGAGAGAGCATTTCGAAACTTTCTTTTTGTAGGATCTGCAAGTGGATATTTGGAGGGCTTTCAGGCCTATGGTGGAAAAGGAAATATCTTCACATAAACACTACTCAGAAGCATTCTGAGAAACTTCTTCACGATGGTTGCACTAAACTCTCAGAGTTGAACTTATCTTTTGATAGAGCAGTTTTGAAACTCTGTGTTACTAGAATCTGCATGTGGTTATTTGGAGTCCTTTGTGGCCGATGGTGGAAAAGGAAATATCTTCCCCTAAAAAGTACACAGAAGCATTCTGAGAAACTTTTTTGACATGTGTGCACTAATCTCACAGAGTTTAATCTATCATTTGATTGAGCAGTTTTAAAAAACTTTTTTTGTGGAATCTGCAATTGGATATTTGGAACGCTTTGAGGCCTATTGTGGAAAAGGCAATATCTTCACATAAAAACTACACAGAAACATTCCGAGAAACTTCTCTGTGATGTGTGCACTCATCTCACGGAGTTGAACCTTTCTTTGATTGACAAGTTTTGAAAGACTATGTTTCTATAATGTGCAAGTGGATATTTGGAGTGCTTTGAGGCATATGGTGGAAAAGGAAATATATTCACATAAAACTATACAGAAGCGTTCCCAGAAACTTATTTGTGATGTGCTTATTCAACTCGCAGAGTTGACCCTATCTTTTGATACAGCAGTTTTGAAACTCTCTTTTTGTAGAATCTGCAAGTGGATATTTGCAGCGCTTTGAGGCCTGCGGTGGAAAAGGAAATATCTTCACATAAAAACTACACAGAAGCATTCTCAGTAACTTCTTTGTAATGTGTGCATTCACCTCACAGACTTGAAACTTCCTCTTGATTGAGCAGCTTGGAAACACACTTTTAGTGAAATCTGCAAGTGGATATTTGGAGCACCTTGAGGCCTGTTGTGGAAAAGGAAATATCTTCACATAAAAACTACACAGAAGCATTCCAATAAACTTGTTTGTGATATGTACCTTCAACTGACAGATTTGAACCTTTCTTTTGATTAAATAGTTTTGAAAATCTCTTTTTGTAGAATCTGCAAGTGGATATTTGGAGTGCTTTGAGGCCTATGGTGGAAAAGGAAATATCTTTACATAAAAACTACACAGAAGCATTCTGAGAAACTACTTTGTGATGTGTGCATTCATATCACATAGTTGAACCTATCTTTTGATAGAGCACTTTTGAAACTCTCTTTTTGTAGAATCTGCAAGTGGATATTTGGAGCCCTTTGCAGCCTATGGTGGAAAAGGAAACATCTTCACATAAAAACTACACAGAAGCATTCTCAGAAACTACTTTGTGATGTGTGCGTTCAGCTCACAGACTTGAAACTTCCTCTTGATTGAGCAGTTTGGAAACACTCTTTAGTAAAATCTGCAAGTGGATATTCGGAGCACTTTGAGGCCTGTTGTGGAGAAGGAAATATCTTCACATAAAAACTACACAGACGCATTCCGAGAAACTTGTTTGTGATATGTGCATTCAACTGACAGAGTTGAACCTTTCTTTTGATTGACTAGTTTTGAAAATCTCTTTTTGTAGAATCTGCAAGTGGATATTTGGAGTGCTTTGAGGCCTATGGTGGAAAAGGAAATATCTTCATATGAAAACTACACAGAAGCATTCTGAGAAAATTCTTTGTGATGTGTGCATTCAAACCACAGACTTGAACTGATCTTTTGATAGAGCAGTTTTTAAAGTGTCTTTCTGTAGAATCTGCAAGTGGTTACTTGGAGACCTTTGTGGAAGATGGTGGAAAAGGAGAATGTCTTCCCGTAAAAACTACACAGATGCATTCTGAGAAACTTCTTTGTGATGTGTGCATTCATCTCACAGAGTTCAACCTATCTTTTCATAGAGCAGTTTTGAAACTCTCTTTTCCTAGAATCTGTAAGTTGATATTTGGAGCCCTTTGCGGCCTATTGTGGAAAAGGAAATAACTTCACATGAAAACTACACAGAAGCTGAGAAACTTCTTTGTGATGTGTGCATTAATTTCCCAGAGTCGAACCTTTCTTTTGATTGAGCAGTTTTGAAACACTCTTTTTGTAGAATCTGCAAGTGGACATTTGAAGCACTTTGAGGCCTATTGTTGAAAAGGAAACATCTTCATATAAAAACAACAAGGAAGCATTCTGAGAAACCATTTTGTGCTGTGTGCATTCACCTCACAGAGTTCAACTTTATTTGATACAGCAGTTTTGAAACACTCTTCTTGTGGAATCTGCAAGTGGAAATTGGGAAATATTTAGGCATATGGTGGAAAAGGAAACATCCGCACATAAAAACTACACAGACACATTCTGTGAAACTTCTTTGTGCTGTGTGCATTCAAACCACAGAGTTGAACCTATCTTTTGAATGAGCAGTTTTGAAACTCTCTTTTCATAGTATCTGCAAGTGGATATTTGGAGCCTTTTGTGGCCTACGGTGGGAAAGGAAATATCTTCATATAAAAACTACACAGAAGCATTCTGAGAAACTTCTCAGTGATGTGAGCATTCTTCTCACAGAGTTGAACTATCTTTTGATTGAGCAGTTTTGAAACACTGTTTTTTTTTAGAATCTGCAAGTGAATATTTGGAGCCTTTTGGGTCTTATTGTGGAAAAGGAAATATCTTCACATAAAAACTACACAGAAGCATTCTGAGAAACTTCTTTGTCATGTGTGGATTCATCTCACAGAGTTAAATCTTTCTTTTGATTGAGCAGTTTGCAAACACTCTTTTTGTGGTATCTCCAGGAGGATATTTGGAGTGCTTTGAGGCCTATGTTGGAAAAGGAAGTATCTTCCCTTAAAAGCTATGCAGAAGCATTCTGAGAAACTTCCTTCTGATGTGTGCATTCATCTCACCTAGTTGAACCTTTCTTTTGGTTGTGCACTTTTGAAACACTCTTTTTGTGGAATCTGCAAGTGGATATCTGGATCACTTTGACGTCTATTGTGGAAAAGGAAATATCTTCACATAAAAACTACACAGAAAGAATTCCGACATAGTTCTTTGTGATGTGTGCATTCAACTCACATAGTTGAAACCATCTCTTGATCGAGTAGTTTTGAACCTCTCTTGTTGTAGAATCTGAAAGTGGATATTTGTGTCCCCTGGCGGTCTATGGTGGAAAAGAAATATCTTCACAAAAATACTACACAGAAGCATTCTGAGAAACTTCTTTGTGATGTGTCCATTCATCTCACAGAGTTGAACCTTTCTTTTGATTGAGCAGTTTTGAAATACTCCTTTTGTAGAATCTGCAAGTGGATATTTTGAGTGCTTTGAGAACTATTGTGGAAAAGGAATTATCTTCTCATAAAACCTACACTGAAGGATTCTGAGAAATTTCTTGTGATGTGTGCATTCATCTCACAGAGTTGAACATTTCCTATGATTGAGCAGTTTGGAAATATTCTTTTCATAGAATCTGGAAGTGGATATTTGGAGCCCTTTGAGGCCTATTGTGGAAAAGGAAATATCTTCACATAAAAACTACAGAGAAGCATTCTGAGAAACTTCTTTGTGATGTGTGCATTCATCAAACAGAATTGAACATTTCTTTTTTTGTGCAGTTTTGAAACAATCTTCTTGTAGTATCTGCAAGTGGATATTTGGAGCGTTTTAAGACCTAAGGTGGGAAAGGAAATATCTTCACATAAAAATTACACAGAGAGATTCTGAGAAACTTCTTTGTGATGTGTGCATTCATCTCATATATTTGAACCTTTCTTTTCATTGTGCAGTTTCCAAGCAATCTTTTTCTAGAATATGTAAGTGGATATTTGGAGCACTTTGTGGACTATGGAGGGAAAAGAAATGTCTTCACATAAAAACTACACAGAAGCATTGGGAGAAAATTCTTGTGATATTTGTGTTCAACCCACAAAGTTGAACATATTGTTTGATAGAGCAGTTGTGAAACTCTCTTTTTGTAGAATCTGCAAGTGGGTATTTGGAGCCCTTTGTGGCCCATGGTAGAAAAGGAACTTCTTCACAGAAAAACTACCCAGAAGCATTTTGAGAAACTCCTTTGTGATTTGTGCACTCATCTCACGGTGTTGAAACTTTATTTTTATTGAGCAATTTTGAACATTCCTTTTTATAGAATCTACAAGTGGATATTTGGAGTGGTTTGAGACCTATGGTAGAAAAAGAACTATCTTCACCGAAAAACCACACAGAAGCATTTTGAGAAGCTTCTTTTTGATGTATGCATTCAACTCACAGAGACGAACTGATCTTTTGATAGAGCAGTTTTGAAACTCACTTTTGTAGAATCTGCAGGTGGATATTTGGAGTACATTGCGGCCTATGGTGAAAAAGGAACTATCTTCGCATGAGAACCAGGCAGAAACATTCTGAGAAACTAGTTTGTGATGTGTGCATTCATCTCACAGAGTTGAAATCATTTTTTGATTTGAGTAGTTTGGAAACACTCTTTTTGTGGAATCTCTAAGGGCATATTTGAAGCGTTTTGCACGCTGTTGTGGAAAAGGAAATATCTTCACATAAAAACTACACAGAAGCATTCTGAGAAACTACTTTGTGATGTGGGCATTCATGTCACGGTTTTGAACCTTCCATTTGATTGAGCAGTTTTGAAATACTCGTTTGGTAGAATGTACAAGTGAATATTTGGAGCACTTTGAGGCCTATGATAGAAACGGAAATATGTTTACATAAAAACTACACAGAAGCATGCTGAGAAACCGCTTTGTGATGTGTGTATTCACCTCCGGGAGTTCAACCTATCATTTGACAGAGCGGTTTTGAAACTCTTTTTGTAGAATCTCCAAGTGGATATTTGGAGCCCTTTGCATTCTACTGTGAAAAGGAAATATCTTCACATCAAAACTACACAGACGCATTCTGAGAAACTTCTTTGTGATGTTTGCTTTCAACTCACAGAATTGAACCTTTTGTTTGAGTAGTTTTGAAACTCTCTTTTTGTAGAATCTAGAAGTGGATATTTAGAACGCTTGGAGGCCTATGGTGCAAAAACGAATAACTTCACACAAAAAATACACAGAAGCATTCTGAGAAACTTCTTTACGATGTCTGCATTCACCTCACAGATTTGAATGTCTCTTTTGATTGAGCAGTTTGGAAGCACTCTTTCGGTAGAATCTGCAAGTGGATATGGAGAGAGCTTTGAGGCCTGTTGTGGAAAACTAAATGTCTTCATATAAAAGCTACACAGAAGCATTCTGAGAAACTCCTTTGTTATGTGTGCATTCATCTCACAGAGTTGAACCTTTCTTTTGATTCGGCAGTTTTGAAACACGGTTTTTGTAGAATCTTCAAGTGGAT
The DNA here is from genome assembly GCF_000001405.40 of Homo sapiens. Lineage (NCBI taxonomy): Eukaryota > Metazoa > Chordata > Mammalia > Primates > Hominidae > Homo > Homo sapiens. Next base: position 10,397,581 of record NC_000024.10, read on the forward strand.
ATTTGGAGCACTTTTCTGCCTATTGTGTAAAAGGAAATATCTTTACGTAAGAACTACACAGAAGCATTCTGAGAAACTTCTTTGTGATGTTCTTAACTCACAGCGTTAAACTTACCTTTGGTAGAGCAGTTTTGAAACTCTCTTTTTGTGGAAAATGTAAGTGGGTATTTAGAGCCATTTGTGGCCTATGGTGGAAAGGAAAATATCTTCACATAAAAACTACACAGAAGCATTCTGAGAAACTACCTTTTGATGTGTGTATTTGTCTCAGACTGGAACCTTCCTTTTGATTGAGCAGTTCTGAAACACTCTTTTTGTAGAATCTGGAAGTGCATATTTGGAGTGCTTTGAGGCCTATGGTGGAAAAAGAAATATCTTCATTTAAAAACTACACAGAAGCATTCTGAGAAACTTCTTTGTGATGTGTGTGTGTATTCATACCACAGAGTCGAAACTATCGTTTGAGAGAGCATTTCGAAACTTTCTTTTTGTAGGATCTGCAAGTGGATATTTGGAGGGCTTTCAGGCCTATGGTGGAAAAGGAAATATCTTCACATAAACACTACTCAGAAGCATTCTGAGAAACTTCTTCACGATGGTTGCACTAAACTCTCAGAGTTGAACTTATCTTTTGATAGAGCAGTTTTGAAACTCTGTGTTACTAGAATCTGCATGTGGTTATTTGGAGTCCTTTGTGGCCGATGGTGGAAAAGGAAATATCTTCCCCTAAAAAGTACACAGAAGCATTCTGAGAAACTTTTTTGACATGTGTGCACTAATCTCACAGAGTTTAATCTATCATTTGATTGAGCAGTTTTAAAAAACTTTTTTTGTGGAATCTGCAATTGGATATTTGGAACGCTTTGAGGCCTATTGTGGAAAAGGCAATATCTTCACATAAAAACTACACAGAAACATTCCGAGAAACTTCTCTGTGATGTGTGCACTCATCTCACGGAGTTGAACCTTTCTTTGATTGACAAGTTTTGAAAGACTATGTTTCTATAATGTGCAAGTGGATATTTGGAGTGCTTTGAGGCATATGGTGGAAAAGGAAATATATTCACATAAAACTATACAGAAGCGTTCCCAGAAACTTATTTGTGATGTGCTTATTCAACTCGCAGAGTTGACCCTATCTTTTGATACAGCAGTTTTGAAACTCTCTTTTTGTAGAATCTGCAAGTGGATATTTGCAGCGCTTTGAGGCCTGCGGTGGAAAAGGAAATATCTTCACATAAAAACTACACAGAAGCATTCTCAGTAACTTCTTTGTAATGTGTGCATTCACCTCACAGACTTGAAACTTCCTCTTGATTGAGCAGCTTGGAAACACACTTTTAGTGAAATCTGCAAGTGGATATTTGGAGCACCTTGAGGCCTGTTGTGGAAAAGGAAATATCTTCACATAAAAACTACACAGAAAGCATTCCAATAAACTTGTTTGTGATATGTACCTTCAACTGACAGATTTGAACCTTTCTTTTGATTAAATAGTTTTGAAAATCTCTTTTTGTAGAATCTGCAAGTGGATATTTGGAGTGCTTTGAGGCCTATGGTGGAAAAGGAAATATCTTTACATAAAAACTACACAGAAGCATTCTGAGAAACTACTTTGTGATGTGTGCATTCATATCACATAGTTGAACCTATCTTTTGATAGAGCACTTTTGAAACTCTCTTTTTGTAGAATCTGCAAGTGGATATTTGGAGCCCTTTGCAGCCTATGGTGGAAAAGGAAACATCTTCACATAAAAACTACACAGAAGCCTTCTCAGAAACTACTTTGTGATGTGTGCGTTCAGCTCACAGACTTGAAACTTCCTCTTGATTGAGCAGTTTGGAAACACTCTTTAGTAAAATCTGCAAGTGGATATTCGGAGCACTTTGAGGCCTGTTGTGGAGAAGGAAATATCTTCACATAAAAACTACACAGACGCATTCCGAGAAACTTGTTTGTGATATGTGCATTCAACTGACAGAGTTGAACCTTTCTTTTGATTGACTAGTTTTGAAAATCTCTTTTTGTAGAATCTGCAAGTGGATATTTGGAGTGCTTTGAGGCCTATGGTGGAAAAGGAAATATCTTCATATGAAAACTACACAGAAGCATTCTGAGAAAATTCTTTGTGATGTGTGCATTCAAACCACAGACTTGAACTGATCTTTTGATAGAGCAGTTTTTAAAGTGTCTTTCTGTAGAATCTGCAAGTGGTTACTTGGAGACCTTTGTGGAAGATGGTGGAAAAGGAAATATCTTCCCGTAAAAACTACACAGATGCATTCTGAGAAACTTCTTTGTGATGTGTGCATTCATCTCACAGAGTTCAACCTATCTTTTCGTAGAGCAGTTTTGAAACTCTCTTTTCCTAGAATCTGTAAGTTGATATTTGGAGCCCTTTGCGGCCTATTGTGGAAAAGGAAATAACTTCACATGAAAACTACACAGAAGAAGCCTGAGAAACTTCTTTGTGATGTGTGCATTAATTTCCCAGAGTCGAACCTTTCTTTTGATTGAGCAGTTTTGAAACACTCTTTTTGTAGAATCTGCAAGTGGACATTTGAAGCACTTTGAGGCCTATTGTTGAAAAGGAAACATCTTCATATAAAAACAACAAGGAAGCATTCTGAGAAACCATTTTGTGCTGTGTGCATTCACCTCACAGAGTTCAACTTTATTTGATACAGCAGTTTTGAAACACTCTTCTTGTGGAATCTGCAAGTGGAAATTGGGAAATATTTAGGCATATGGTGGAAAAGGAAACATCCGCACATAAAAACTACACAGACACATTCTGTGAAACTTCTTTGTGCTGTGTGCATTCAAACCACAGAGTTGAACCTATCTTTTGAATGAGCAGTTTTGAAACTCTCTTTTCATAGTATCTGCAAGTGGATATTTGGAGCCTTTTGTGGCCTACGGTGGGAAAGGAAATATCTTCATATAAAAACTACACAGAAGCATTCTGAGAAACTTCTCAGTGATGTGAGCATTCTTCTCACAGAGTTGAACTATCTTTTGATTGAGCAGTTTTGAAACACTGTTTTTTTTTAGAATCTGCAAGTGAATATTTGGAGCCTTTTGGGTCTTATTGTGGAAAAGGAAATATCTTCACATAAAAACTACACAGAAGCATTCTGAGAAACTTCTTTGTCATGTGTGGATTCATCTCACAGAGTTAAATCTTTCTTTTGATTGAGCAGTTTGCAAACACTCTTTTTGTGGTATCTCCAGGAGGATATTTGGAGTGCTTTGAGGCCTATGTTGGAAAAGGAAGTATCTTCCCTTAAAAGCTATGCAGAAGCATTCTGAGAAACTTCCTTCTGATGTGTGCATTCATCTCACCTAGTTGAACCTTTCTTTTGGTTGTGCACTTTTGAAACACTCTTTTTGTGGAATCTGCAAGTGGATATCTGGATCACTTTGACGTCTATTGTGGAAAAGGAAATATCTTCACATAAAAACTACACAGAAGAATTCCGACATAGTTCTTTGTGATGTGTGCATTCAACTCACATAGTTGAAACCATCTCTTGATCGAGTAGTTTTGAACCTCTCTTGTTGTAGAATCTGAAAGTGGATATTTGTGTCCCCTGGCGGTCTATGGTGGAAAAGAAATATCTTCACAAAAATACTACACAGAAGCATTCTGAGAAACTTCTTTGTGATGTGTCCATTCATCCCACAGAGTTGAACCTTTCTTTTGATTGAGCAGTTTTGAAATACTCCTTTTGTAGAATCTGCAAGTGGATATTTTGAGTGCTTTGAGAACTATTGTGGAAAAGGAATTATCTTCTCATAAAACCTACACTGAAGGATTCTGAGAAATTTCTTGTGATGTGTGCATTCATCTCACAGAGTTGAACATTTCCTATGATTGAGCAGTTTGGAAATATTCTTTTCATAGAATCTGGAAGTGGATATTTGGAGCCCTTTGAGGCCTATTGTGGAAAAGGAAATATCTTCACATAAAAACTACAGAGAAGCATTCTGAGAAACTTCTTTGTGATGTGTGCATTCATCAAACAGAATTGAACATTTCTTTTTTTGTGCAGTTTTGAAACAATCTTCTTGTAGTATCTGCAAGTGGATATTTGGAGCGTTTTAAGACCTAAGGTGGGAAAGGAAATATCTTCACATAAAAATTACACAGAGAGATTCTGAGAAACTTCTTTGTGATGTGTGCATTCATCTCATATATTTGAACCTTTCTTTTCATTGTGCAGTTTCCAAGCAATCTTTTTCTAGAATATGTAAGTGGATATTTGGAGCACTTTGTGGACTATGGAGGGAAAAGAAATGTCTTCACATAAAAACTACACAGAAGCATTGGGAGAAAATTCTTGTGATATTTGTGTTCAACCCACAAAGTTGAACATATTGTTTGATAGAGCAGTTGTGAAACTCTCTTTTTGTAGAATCTGCAAGTGGGTATTTGGAGCCCTTTGTGGCCCATGGTAGAAAAGGAACTATCTTCACAGAAAAACTACCCAGAAGCATTTTGAGAAACTCCTTTGTGATTTGTGCACTCATCTCACGGTGTTGAAACTTTATTTTTATTGAGCAATTTTGAACATTCCTTTTTATAGAATCTACAAGTGGATATTTGGAGTGGTTTGAGACCTATGGTAGAAAAAGAACTATCTTCACCGAAAAACCACACAGAAGCATTTTGAGAAGCTTCTTTTTGATGTATGCATTCAACTCACAGAGACGAACTGATCTTTTGATAGAGCAGTTTTGAAACTCACTTTTGTAGAATCTGCAGGTGGATATTTGGAGTACATTGCGGCCTATGGTGAAAAAGGAACTATCTTCGCATGAGAACCAGGCAGAAACATTCTGAGAAACTAGTTTGTGATGTGTGCATTCATCTCACAGAGTTGAAATCATTTTTTGATTTGAGTAGTTTGGAAACACTCTTTTTGTGGAATCTCTAAGGGCATATTTGAAGCGTTTTGCACGCTGTTGTGGAAAAGGAAATATCTTCACATAAAAACTACACAGAAGCATTCTGAGAAACTACTTTGTGATGTGGGCATTCATGTCACGGTTTTGAACCTTCCGTTTGATTGAGCAGTTTTGAAATACTCGTTTGGTAGAATGTACAAGTGAATATTTGGAGCACTTTGAGGCCTATGATAGAAACGGAAATATGTTTACATAAAAACTACACAGAAGCATGCTGAGAAACCTCTTTGTGATGTGTGTATTCACCTCCGGGAGTTCAACCTATCATTTGACAGAGCGGTTTTGAAACTCTTTTTGTAGAATCTCCAAGTGGATATTTGGAGCCCTTTGCATTCTACTGTGAAAAGGAAATATCTTCACATCAAAACTACACAGACGCATTCTGAGAAACTTCTTTGTGATGTTTGCTTTCAACTCACAGAATTGAACCTTTTGTTTGAGTAGTTTTGAAACTCTCTTTTTGTAGAATCTAGAAGTGGATATTTAGAACGCTTGGAGGCCTATGGTGCAAAAACGAATAACTTCACACAAAAAATACACAGAAGCATTCTGAGAAACTTCTTTACGATGTCTGCATTCACCTCACAGATTTGAATGTCTCTTTTGATTGAGCAGTTTGGAAGCACTCTTTCGGTAGAATCTGCAAGTGGATATGGAGAGAGCTTTGAGGCCTGTTGTGGAAAACTAAATGTCTTCATATAAAAGCTACACAGAAGCATTCTGAGAAACTCCTTTGTTATGTGTGCATTCATCTCACAGAGTTGAACCTTTCTTTTGATTCGGCAGTTTTGAAACACGGTTTCTGTAGAATCTTCAAGTGGATATTTGGAGCACTTTTCTGCCTATTGTGTAAAAGGAAATATCTTTACGTAAGAACTACACAGAAGCATTCTGAGAAACTTCTTTGTGATGTTCTTAACTCACAGCGTTAAACTTACCTTTGGTAGAGCAGTTTTGAAACTCTCTTTTTGTGGAAAATGTAAGTGGGTATTTAGAGCCATTTGTGGCCTATGGTGGAAAGGAAAATATCTTCACATAAAAACTACACAGAAGCATTCTGAGAAACTACCTTTTGATGTGTGTATTTGTCTCAGACTGGAACCTTCCTTTTGATTGAGCAGTTCTGAAACACTCTTTTTGTAGAATCTGGAAGTGCATATTTGGAGTGCTTTGAGGCCTATGGTGGAAAAAGAAATATCTTCATTTAAAAACTACACAGAAGCATTCTGAGAAACTTCTTTGTGATGTGTGTATTCATACCACAGAGTCGAAACTATCGTTTGAGAGAGCATTTCGAAACTTTCTTTTTGTAGGATCTGCAAGTGGATATTTGGAGGGCTTTCAGGCCTATGGTGGAAAAGGAAATATCTTCACATAAACACTACTCAGAAGCATTCTGAGAAACTTCTTCACGATGGTTGCACTAAACTCTCAGAGTTGAACTTATCTTTTGATAGAGCAGTTTTGAAACTCTGTGTTACTAGAATCTGCATGTGGTTATTTGGAGTCCTTTGTGGCCGATGGTGGAAAAGGAAATATCTTCCCCTAAAAAGTACACAGAAGCATTCTGAGAAACTTTTTTGACATGTGTGCACTAATCTCACAGAGTTTAATCTATCATTTGATTGAGCAGTTTTAAAAAACTTTTTTTGTGGAATCTGCAATTGGATATTTGGAACGCTTTGAGGCCTATTGTGGAAAAGGCAATATCTTCACATAAAAACTACACAGAAACATTCCGAGAAACTTCTCTGTGATGTGTGCACTCATCTCACGGAGTTGAACCTTTCTTTGATTGACAAGTTTTGAAAGACTATGTTTCTATAATGTGCAAGTGGATATTTGGAGTGCTTTGAGGCATATGGTGGAAAAGGAAATATATTCACATAAAACTATACAGAAGCGTTCCCAGAAACTTATTTGTGATGTGCTTATTCAACTCGCAGAGTTGACCCTATCTTTTGATACAGCAGTTTTGAAACTCTCTTTTTGTAGAATCTGCAAGTGGATATTTGCAGCGCTTTGAGGCCTGCGGTGGAAAAGGAAATATCTTCACATAAAAACTACACAGAAGCATTCTCAGTAACTTCTTTGTAATGTGTGCATTCACCTCACAGACTTGAAACTTCCTCTTGATTGAGCAGCTTGGAAACACACTTTTAGTGAAATCTGCAAGTGGATATTTGGAGCACCTTGAGGCCTGTTGTGGAAAAGGAAATATCTTCACATAAAAACTACACAGAAGCATTCCAATAAACTTGTTTGTGATATGTACCTTCAACTGACAGATTTGAACCTTTCTTTTGATTAAATAGTTTTGAAAATCTCTTTTTGTAGAATCTGCAAGTGGATATTTGGAGTGCTTTGAGGCCTATGGTGGAAAAGGAAATATCTTTACATAAAAACTACACAGAAGCATTCTGAGAAACTACTTTGTGATGTGTGCATTCATATCACATAGTTGAACCTATCTTTTGATAGAGCACTTTTGAAACTCTCTTTTTGTAGAATCTGCAAGTGGATATTTGGAGCCCTTTGCAGCCTATGGTGGAAAAGGAAACATCTTCACATAAAAACTACACAGAAGCATTCTCAGAAACTACTTTGTGATGTGTGCGTTCAGCTCACAGACTTGAAACTTCCTCTTGATTGAGCAGTTTGGAAACACTCTTTAGTAAAATCTGCAAGTGGATATTCGGAGCACTTTGAGGCCTGTTGTGGAGAAGGAAATATCTTCACATAAAAACTACACAGACGCATTCCGAGAAACTTGTTTGTGATATGTGCATTCAACTGACAGAGTTGAACCTTTCTTTTGATTGACTAGTTTTGAAAATCTCTTTTTGTAGAATCTGCAAGTGGATATTTGGAGTGCTTTGAGGCCTATGGTGGAAAAGGAAATATCTTCATATGAAAACTACACAGAAGCATTCTGAGAAAATTCTTTGTGATGTGTGCATTCAAACCACAGACTTGAACTGATCTTTTGATAGAGCAGTTTTTAAAGTGTCTTTCTGTAGAATCTGCAAGTGGTTACTTGGAGACCTTTGTGGAAGATGGTGGAAAAGGAAATGTCTTCCCGTAAAAACTACACAGATGCATTCTGAGAAACTTCTTTGTGATGTGTGCATTCATCTCACAGAGTTCAACCTATCTTTTCGTAGAGCAGTTTTGAAACTCTCTTTTCCTAGAATCTGTAAGTTGATATTTGGAGCCCTTTGCGGCCTATTGTGGAAAAGGAAATAACTTCACATGAAAACTACACAGAAGCTGAGAAACTTCTTTGTGATGTGTGCATTAATTTCCCAGAGTCGAACCTTTCTTTTGATTGAGCAGTTTTGAAACACTCTTTTTGTAGAATCTGCAAGTGGACATTTGAAGCACTTTGAGGCCTATTGTTGAAAAGGAAACATCTTCATATAAAAACAACAAGGAAGCATTCTGAGAAACCATTTTGTGCTGTGTGCATTCACCTCACAGAGTTCAACTTTATTTGATACAGCAGTTTTGAAACACTCTTCTTGTAGAATCTGCAAGTGGAAATTGGGAAATATTTAGGCATATGGTGGAAAAGGAAACATCCGCACATAAAAACTACACAGACACATTCTGTGAAACTTCTTTGTGCTGTGTGCATTCAAACCACAGAGTTGAACCTATCTTTTGAATGAGCAGTTTTGAAACTCTCTTTTCATAGTATCTGCAAGTGGATATTTGGAGCCTTTTGTGGCCTACGGTGGGAAAGGAAATATCTTCATATAAAAACTACACAGAAGCATTCTGAGAAACTTCTCAGTGATGTGAGCATTCTTCTCACAGAGTTGAACTATCTTTTGATTGAGCAGTTTTGAAACACTGTTTTTTTTAGAATCTGCAAGTGAATATTTGGAGCCTTTTGGGTCTTATTGTGGAAAAGGAAATATCTTCACATAAAAACTACACAGAAGCATTCTGAGAAACTTCTTTGTCATGTGTGGATTCATCTCACAGAGTTAAATCTTTCTTTTGATTGAGCAGTTTGCAAACACTCTTTTTGTGGTATCTCCAGGAGGATATTTGGAGTGCTTTGAGGCCTATGTTGGAAAAGGAAGTATCTTCCCTTAAAAGCTATGCAGAAGCATTCTGAGAAACTTCCTTCTGATGTGTGCATTCATCTCACCTAGTTGAACCTTTCTTTTGGTTGTGCACTTTTGAAACACTCTTTTTGTGGAATCTGCAAGTGGATATCTGGATCACTTTGACGTCTATTGTGGAAAAGGAAATATCTTCACATAAAAACTACACAGAAGAATTCCGACATAGTTCTTTGTGATGTGTGCATTCAACTCACATAGTTGAAACCATCTCTTGATCGAGTAGTTTTGAACCTCTCTTGTTGTAGAATCTGAAAGTGGATATTTGTGTCCCCTGGCGGTCTATGGTGGAAAAGAAATATCTTCACAAAAATACTACACAGAAGCATTCTGAGAAACTTCTTTGTGATGTGTCCATTCATCCCACAGAGTTGAACCTTTCTTTTGATTGAGCAGTTTTGAAATACTCCTTTTGTAGAATCTGCAAGTGGATATTTTGAGTGCTTTGAGAACTATTGTGGAAAAGGAATTATCTTCTCATAAAACCTACACTGAAGGATTCTGAGAAATTTCTTGTGATGTGTGCATTCATCTCACAGAGTTGAACATTTCCTATGATTGAGCAGTTTGGAAATATTCTTTTCATAGAATCTGGAAGTGGATATTTGGAGCCCTTTGAGGCCTATTGTGGAAAAGGAAATATCTTCACATAAAAACTACAGAGAAGCATTCTGAGAAACTTCTTTGTGATGTGTGCATTCATCAAACAGAATTGAACATTTCTTTTTTTGTGCAGTTTTGAAACAATCTTCTTGTAGTATCTGCAAGTGGATATTTGGAGCGTTTTAAGACCTAAGGTGGGAAAGGAAATATCTTCACATAAAAATTACACAGAGAGATTCTGAGAAACTTCTTTGTGATGTGTGCATTCATCTCATATATTTGAACCTTTCTTTTCATTGTGCAGTTTCCAAGCAATCTTTTTCTAGAATATGTAAGTGGATATTTGGAGCACTTTGTGGACTATGGAGGGAAAAGAAATGTCTTCACATAAAAACTACACAGAAGCATTGGGAGAAAATTCTTGTGATATTTGTGTTCAACCCACAAAGTTGAACATATTGTTTGATAGAGCAGTTGTGAAACTCTCTTTTTGTAGAATCTGCAAGTGGGTATTTGGAGCCCTTTGTGGCCCATGGTAGAAAAGGAACTATCTTCACAGAAAAACTACCCAGAAGCATTTTGAGAAACTCCTTTGTGATTTGTGCACTCATCTCACGGTGTTGAAACTTTATTTTTATTGAGCAATTTTGAACATTCCTTTTTATAGAATCTACAAGTGGATATTTGGAGTGGTTTGAGACCTATGGTAGAAAAAGAACTATCTTCACCGAAAAACCACACAGAAGCATTTTGAGAAGCTTCTTTTTGATGTATGCATTCAACTCACAGAGACGAACTGATCTTTTGATAGAGCAGTTTTGAAACTCACTTTTGTAGAATCTGCAGGTGGATATTTGGAGTACATTGCGGCCTATGGTGAAAAAGGAACTATCTTCGCATGAGAACCAGGCAGAAACATTCTGAGAAACTAGTTTGTGATGTGTGCATTCATCTCACAGAGTTGAAATCATTTTTTGATTTGAGTAGTTTGGAAACACTCTTTTTGTGGAATCTCTAAGGGCATATTTGAAGCGTTTTGCACGCTGTTGTGGAAAAGGAAATATCTTCACATAAAAACTACACAGAAGCATTCTGAGAAACTACTTTGTGATGTGGGCATTCATGTCACAGTTTTGAACCTTCCATTTGATTGAGCAGTTTTGAAATACTCGTTTGGTAGAATGTACAAGTGAATATTTGGAGCACTTTGAGGCCTATGATAGAAACGGAAATATGTTTACATAAAAACTACACAGAAGCATGCTGAGAAACCTCTTTGTGATGTGTGTATTCACCTCCGGGAGTTCAACCTATCATTTGACAGAGCGGTTTTGAAACTCTTTTTGTAGAATCTCCAAGTGGATATTTGGAGCCCTTTGCATTCTATTGTGAAAAGGAAATATCTTCACATCAAAACTACACAGACGCATTCTGAGAAACTTCTTTGTGATGTTTGCTTTCAACTCACAGAATTGAACCTTTTGTTTGAGTAGTTTTGAAACTCTCTTTTTGTAGAATCTAGAAGTGGATATTTAGAACGCTTGGAGGCCTATGGTGCAAAAACGAATAACTTCACACAAAAAATACACAGAAGCATTCTGAGAAACTTCTTTACGATGTCTGCATTCACCTCACAGATTTGAATGTCTCTTTTGATTGAGCAGTTTGGAAGCACTCTTTCGGTAGAATCTGCAAGTGGATATGGAGAGAGCTTTGAGGCCTGTTGTGGAAAACTAAATATCTTCATATAAAAGCTACACAGAAGCATTCTGAGAAACTCCTTTGTTATGTGTGCATTCATCTCACAGAGTTGAAACTTTCTTTTGATTCGGCAGTTTTGAAACACGGTTTTTGTAGAATCTTCAAGTGGATATTTGGAGCACTTTTCTGCCTATTGTGTAAAAGGAAATATCTTTACATAAGAACTACACAGAAGCATTCTGAGAAACTTCTTTGTGATGTTCTTAACTCACAGCGTTAAACTTACCTTTGGTAGAGCAGTTTTGAAACTCTCTTTCTGTGGAAAATGCAAGTGGGTATTTAGAGCCATTTGTGGCCTATGGTGGAAAGGAAAATATCTTCACATAAAAACTACACAGAAGCATTCTGAGAAATTACCTTTTGATGTGTGCATTTGTCTCAGACTGGAACCTTCCTTTTGTTTGAGCAGTTCTGAAACACTCTTTTTGTAGAATCTGGAAGTGCATATTTGGAGTGCTTTGAGGCCTATGGTGGAAAAAGAAATATCTTCATTTAAAAACTACACAGAAGCATTCTGAGAAACTTCTTTGTGATGTGTGTATTCATACCACAGAGTCGAAACTATCGTTTGAGAGAGCATTTCGAAACTTTCTTTTTGTAGGATCTGCAAGTGGATATTTGGAGGGCTTTCAGGCCTATGGTGGAAAAGGAAATATCTTCACATAAACACTACTCAGAAGCATTCTGAGAAACTTCTTCACGATGGTTGCACTAAACTCTCAGAGTTGAACTTATCTTTTGATAGAGCAGTTTTGAAACTCTGTGTTACTAGAATCTGCATGTGGTTATTTGGAGTCCTTTGTGACCGATGGTGGAAAAGGAAATATCTTCCCCTAAAAAGTACACAGAAGCATTCTGAGAAACTTTTTTGACATGTGTGCACTAATCTCACAGAGTTTAATCTATCATTTGATTGAGCAGTTTTAAAAAACTTTTTTTGTGGAATCTGCAATTGGATATTTGGAACGCTTTGAGGCCTATTGTGGAAAAGGCAATATCTTCACATAAAAACTACACAGAAACATTCCGAGAAACTTCTCTGTGATGTGTGCACTCATCTCACGGAGTTGAACCTTTCTTTGATTGACAAGTTTTGAAAGACTATGTTTCTATAATGTGCAAGTGGATATTTGGAGTGCTTTGAGGCATATGGTGGAAAAGGAAATATATTCACATAAAACTATACAGAAGCGTTCCCAGAAACTTATTTGTGATGTGTTTATTCAACTCGCAGAGTTGACCCTATCTTTTGATACAGCAGTTTTGAAACTCTCTTTTTGTAGAATCTGCAAGTGGATATTTGCAGCGCTTTGAGGCCTGCGGTGGAAAAGGAAATATCTTCACATAAAAACTACACAGAAGCATTCTCAGTAACTTCTTTGTAATGTGTGCATTCACCTCACAGACTTGAAACTTCCTCTTGATTGAGCAGCTTGGAAACACACTTTTAGTGAAATCTGCAAGTGGATATTTGGAGCACCTTGAGGCCTGTTGTGGAAAAGGAAATATCTTCACATAAAAACTACACAGAAGCATTCCAATAAACTTGTTTGTGATATGTACCTTCAACTGACAGATTTGAACCTTTCTTTTGATTAAATAGTTTTGAAAATCTCTTTTTGTAGAATCTGCAAGTGGATATTTGGAGTGCTTTGAGGCCTATGGTGGAAAAGGAAATATCTTTACATAAAAACTACACAGAAGCATTCTGAGAAACTACTTTGTGATGTGTGCATTCATATCACATAGTTGAACCTATCTTTTGATAGAGCACTTTTGAAACTCTCTTTTTGTAGAATCTGCAAGTGGATATTTGGAGCCCTTTGCAGCCTATGGTGGAAAAGGAAACATCTTCACATAAAAACTACACAGAAGCATTCTCAGAAACTACTTTGTGATGTGTGCGTTCAGCTCACAGACTTGAAACTTCCTCTTGATTGAGCAGTTTGGAAACACTCTTTAGTAAAATCTGCAAGTGGATATTCGGAGCACTTTGAGGCCTGTTGTGGAGAAGGAAATATCTTCACATAAAAACTACACAGACGCATTCCGAGAAACTTGTTTGTGATATGTGCATTCAACTGACAGAGTTGAACCTTTCTTTTGATTGACTAGTTTTGAAAATCTCTTTTTGTAGAATCTGCAAGTGGATATTTGGAGTGCTTTGAGGCCTATGGTGGAAAAGGAAATATCTTCATATGAAAACTACACAGAAGCATTCTGAGAAAATTCTTTGTGATGTGTGCATTCAAACCACAGACTTGAACTGATCTTTTGATAGAGCAGTTTTTAAAGTGTCTTTCTGTAGAATCTGCAAGTGGTTACTTGGAGACCTTTGTGGAAGATGGTGGAAAAGGAAATGTCTTCCCGTAAAAACTACACAGATGCATTCTGAGAAACTTCTTTGTGATGTGTGCATTCATCTCACAGAGTTCAACCTATCTTTTCGTAGAGCAGTTTTGAAACTCTCTTTTCCTAGAATCTGTAAGTTGATATTTGGAGCCCTTTGCGGCCTATTGTGGAAAAGGAAATAACTTCACATGAAAACTACACAGAAGCTGAGAAACTTCTTTGTGATGTGTGCATTAATTTCCCAGAGTCGAACCTTTCTTTTGATTGAGCAGTTTTGAAACACTCTTTTTGTAGAATCTGCAAGTGGACATTTGAAGCACTTTGAGGCCTATTGTTGAAAAGGAAACATCTTCATATAAAAACAACAAGGAAGCATTCTGAGAAACCATTTTGTGCTGTGTGCATTCACCTCACAGAGTTCAACTTTATTTGATACAGCAGTTTTGAAACACTCTTCTTGTAGAATCTGCAAGTGGAAATTGGGAAATATTTAGGCATATGGTGGAAAAGGAAACATCCGCACATAAAAACTACACAGACACATTCTGTGAAACTTCTTTGTGCTGTGTGCATTCAAACCACAGAGTTGAACCTATCTTTTGAATGAGCAGTTTTGAAACTCTCTTTTCATAGTATCTGCAAGTGGATATTTGGAGCCTTTTGTGGCCTACGGTGGGAAAGGAAATATCTTCATATAAAAACTACACAGAAGCATTCTGAGAAACTTCTCAGTGATGTGAGCATTCTTCTCACAGAGTTGAACTATCTTTTGATTGAGCAGTTTTGAAACACTGTTTTTTTTTAGAATCTGCAAGTGAATATTTGGAGCCTTTTGGGTCTTATTGTGGAAAAGGAAATATCTTCACATAAAAACTACACAGAAGCATTCTGAGAAACTTCTTTGTCATGTGTGGATTCATCTCACAGAGTTAAATCTTTCTTTTGATTGAGCAGTTTGCAAACACTCTTTTTGTGGTATCTCCAGGAGGATATTTGGAGTGCTTTGAGGCCTATGTTGGAAAAGGAAGTATCTTCCCTTAAAAGCTATGCAGAAGCATTCTGAGAAACTTCCTTCTGATGTGTGCATTCATCTCACCTAGTTGAACCTTTCTTTTGGTTGTGCACTTTTGAAACACTCTTTTTGTGGAATCTGCAAGTGGATATCTGGATCACTTTGACGTCTATTGTGGAAAAGGAAATATCTTCACATAAAAACTACACAGAAGAATTCCGACATAGTTCTTTGTGATGTGTGCATTCAACTCACATAGTTGAAACCATCTCTTGATCGAGTAGTTTTGAACCTCTCTTGTTGTAGAATCTGAAAGTGGATATTTGTGTCCCCTGGCGGTCTATGGTGGAAAAGAAATATCTTCACAAAAATACTACACAGAAGCATTCTGAGAAACTTCTTTGTGATGTGTCCATTCATCTCACAGAGTTGAACCTTTCTTTTGATTGAGCAGTTTTGAAATACTCCTTTTGTAGAATCTGCAAGTGGATATTTTGAGTGCTTTGAGAACTATTGTGGAAAAGGAATTATCTTCTCATAAAACCTACACTGAAGGATTCTGAGAAATTTCTTGTGATGTGTGCATTCATCTCACAGAGTTGAACATTTCCTATGATTGAGCAGTTTGGAAATATTCTTTTCATAGAATCTGGAAGTGGATATTTGGAGCCCTTTGAGGCCTATTGTGGAAAAGGAAATATCTTCACATAAAAACTACAGAGAAGCATTCTGAGAAACTTCTTTGTGATGTGTGCATTCATCAAACAGAATTGAACATTTCTTTTTTTGTGCAGTTTTGAAACAATCTTCTTGTAGTATCTGCAAGTGGATATTTGGAGCGTTTTAAGACCTAAGGTGGGAAAGGAAATATCTTCACATAAAAATTACACAGAGAGATTCTGAGAAACTTCTTTGTGATGTGTGCATTCATCTCATATATTTGAACCTTTCTTTTCATTGTGCAGTTTCCAAGCAATCTTTTTCTAGAATATGTAAGTGGATATTTGGAGCACTTTGTGGACTATGGAGGGAAAAGAAATGTCTTCACATAAAAACTACACAGAAGCATTGGGAGAAAATTCTTGTGATATTTGTGTTCAACCCACAAAGTTGAACATATTGTTTGATAGAGCAGTTGTGAAACTCTCTTTTTGTAGAATCTGCAAGTGGGTATTTGGAGCCCTTTGTGGCCCATGGTAGAAAAGGAACTATCTTCACAGAAAAACTACCCAGAAGCATTTTGAGAAACTCCTTTGTGATTTGTGCACTCATCTCACGGTGTTGAAACTTTATTTTTATTGAGCAATTTTGAACATTCCTTTTTATAGAATCTACAAGTGGATATTTGGAGTGGTTTGAGACCTATGGTAGAAAAAGAACTATCTTCACCGAAAAACCACACAGAAGCATTTTGAGAAGCTTCTTTTTGATGTATGCATTCAACTCACAGAGACGAACTGATCTTTTGATAGAGCAGTTTTGAAACTCACTTTTGTAGAATCTGCAGGTGGATATTTGGAGTACATTGCGGCCTATGGTGAAAAAGGAACTATCTTCGCATGAGAACCAGGCAGAAACATTCTGAGAAACTAGTTTGTGATGTGTGCATTCATCTCACAGAGTTGAAATCATTTTTTGATTTGAGTAGTTTGGAAACACTCTTTTTGTGGAATCTCTAAGGGCATATTTGAAGCGTTTTGCACGCTGTTGTGGAAAAGGAAATATCTTCACATAAAAACTACACAGAAGCATTCTGAGAAACTACTTTGTGATGTGGGCATTCATGTCACAGTTTTGAACCTTCCATTTGATTGAGCAGTTTTGAAATACTCGTTTGGTAGAATGTACAAGTGAATATTTGGAGCACTTTGAGGCCTATGATAGAAACGGAAATATGTTTACATAAAAACTACACAGAAGCATGCTGAGAAACCTCTTTGTGATGTGTGTATTCACCTCCGGGAGTTCAACCTATCATTTGACAGAGCGGTTTTGAAACTCTTTTTGTAGAATCTCCAAGTGGATATTTGGAGCCCTTTGCATTCTATTGTGAAAAGGAAATATCTTCACATCAAAACTACACAGACGCATTCTGAGAAACTTCTTTGTGATGTTTGCTTTCAACTCACAGAATTGAACCTTTTGTTTGAGTAGTTTTGAAACTCTCTTTTTGTAGAATCTAGAAGTGGATATTTAGAACGCTTGGAGGCCTATGGTGCAAAAACGAATAACTTCACACAAAAAATACACAGAAGCATTCTGAGAAACTTCTTTACGATGTCTGCATTCACCTCACAGATTTGAATGTCTCTTTTGATTGAGCAGTTTGGAAGCACTCTTTCGGTAGAATCTGCAAGTGGATATGGAGAGAGCTTTGAGGCCTGTTGTGGAAAACTAAATGTCTTCATATAAAAGCTACACAGAAGCATTCTGAGAAACTCCTTTGTTATGTGTGCATTCATCTCACAGAGTTGAACCTTTCTTTTGATTCGGCAGTTTTGAAACACGGTTTCTGTAGAATCTTCAAGTGGATATTTGGAGCACTTTTCTGCCTATTGTGTAAAAGGAATATCTTTACGTAAGAACTACACAGAAGCATTCTGAGAAACTTCTTTGTGATGTTCTTAACTCACAGCGTTAAACTTACCTTTGGTAGAGCAGTTTTGAAACTCTCTTTTTGTGGAAAATGTAAGTGGGTATTTAGAGCCATTTGTGGCCTATGGTGGAAAGGAAAATATCTTCACATAAAAACTACACAGAAGCATTCTGAGAAACTACCTTTTGATGTGTGTATTTGTCTCAGACTGGAACCTTCCTTTTGATTGAGCAGTTCTGAAACACTCTTTTTGTAGAATCTGGAAGTGCATATTTGGAGTGCTTTGAGGCCTATGGTGGAAAAAGAAATATCTTCATTTAAAAACTACACAGAAGCATTCTGAGAAACTTCTTTGTGATGTGTGTATTCATACCACAGAGTCGAAACTATCGTTTGAGAGAGCATTTCGAAACTTTCTTTTTGTAGGATCTGCAAGTGGATATTTGGAGGGCTTTCAGGCCTATGGTGGAAAAGGAAATATCTTCACATAAACACTACTCAGAAGCATTCTGAGAAACTTCTTCACGATGGTTGCACTAAACTCTCAGTTGAACTTATCTTTTGATAGAGCAGTTTTGAAACTCTGTGTTACTAGAATCTGCATGTGGTTATTTGGAGTCCTTTGTGGCCGATGGTGGAAAAGGAAATATCTTCCCCTAAAAAGTACACAGAAGCATTCTGAGAAACTTTTTTGACATGTGTGCACTAATCTCACAGAGTTTAATCTATCATTTGATTGAGCAGTTTTAAAAAACTTTTTTTGTGGAATCTGCAATTGGATATTTGGAACGCTTTGAGGCCTATTGTGGAAAAGGCAATATCTTCACATAAAAACTACACAGAAACATTCCGAGAAACTTCTCTGTGATGTGTGCACTCATCTCACGGAGTTGAACCTTTCTTTGATTGACAAGTTTTGAAAGACTATGTTTCTATAATGTGCAAGTGGATATTTGGAGTGCTTTGAGGCATATGGTGGAAAAGGAAATATATTCACATAAAACTATACAGAAGCGTTCCCAGAAACTTATTTGTGATGTGTTTATTCAACTCGCAGAGTTGACCCTATCTTTTGATACAGCAGTTTTGAAACTCTCTTTTTGTAGAATCTGCAAGTGGATATTTGCAGCGCTTTGAGGCCTGCGGTGGAAAAGGAAATATCTTCACATAAAAACTACACAGAAGCATTCTCAGTAACTTCTTTGTAATGTGTGCATTCACCTCACAGACTTGAAACTTCCTCTTGATTGAGCAGCTTGGAAACACACTTTTAGTGAAATCTGCAAGTGGATATTTGGAGCACCTTGAGGCCTGTTGTGGAAAAGGAAATATCTTCACATAAAAACTACACAGAAGCATTCCAATAAACTTGTTTGTGATATGTACCTTCAACTGACAGATTTGAACCTTTCTTTTGATTAAATAGTTTTGAAAATCTCTTTTTGTAGAATCTGCAAGTGGATATTTGGAGTGCTTTGAGGCCTATGGTGGAAAAGGAAATATCTTTACATAAAAACTACACAGAAGCATTCTGAGAAACTACTTTGTGATGTGTGCATTCATATCACATAGTTGAACCTATCTTTTGATAGAGCACTTTTGAAACTCTCTTTTTGTAGAATCTGCAAGTGGATATTTGGAGCCCTTTGCAGCCTATGGTGGAAAAGAAAACATCTTCACATAAAAACTACACAGAAGCATTCTCAGAAACTACTTTGTGATGTGTGCGTTCAGCTCACAGACTTGAAACTTCCTCTTGATTGAGCAGTTTGGAAACACTCTTTAGTAAAATCTGCAAGTGGATATTCGGAGCACTTTGAGGCCTGTTGTGGAGAAGGAAATATCTTCACATAAAAACTACACAGACGCATTCCGAGAAACTTGTTTGTGATATGTGCATTCAACTGACAGAGTTGAACCTTTCTTTTGATTGACTAGTTTTGAAAATCTCTTTTTGTAGAATCTGCAAGTGGATATTTGGAGTGCTTTGAGGCCTATGGTGGAAAAGGAAATATCTTCATATGAAAACTACACAGAAGCATTCTGAGAAAATTCTTTGTGATGTGTGCATTCAAACCACAGACTTGAACTGATCTTTTGATAGAGCAGTTTTTAAAGTGTCTTTCTGTAGAATCTGCAAGTGGTTACTTGGAGACCTTTGTGGAAGATGGTGGAAAAGGAAATGTCTTCCCGTAAAAACTACACAGATGCATTCTGAGAAACTTCTTTGTGATGTGTGCATTCATCTCACAGAGTTCAACCTATCTTTTCGTAGAGCAGTTTTGAAACTCTCTTTTCCTAGAATCTGTAAGTTGATATTTGGAGCCCTTTGCGGCCTATTGTGGAAAAGGAAATAACTTCACATGAAAACTACACAGAAGCTGAGAAACTTCTTTGTGATGTGTGCATTAATTTCCCAGAGTCGAACCTTTCTTTTGATTGAGCAGTTTTGAAACACTCTTTTTGTAGAATCTGCAAGTGGACATTTGAAGCACTTTGAGGCCTATTGTTGAAAAGGAAACATCTTCATATAAAAACAACAAGGAAAGCATTCTGAGAAACCATTTTGTGCTGTGTGCATTCACCTCACAGAGTTCAACTTTATTTGATACAGCAGTTTTGAAACACTCTTCTTGTGGAATCTGCAAGTGGAAATTGGGAAATATTTAGGCATATGGTGGAAAAGGAAACATCCGCACATAAAAACTACACAGACACATTCTGTGAAACTTCTTTGTGCTGTGTGCATTCAAACCACAGAGTTGAACCTATCTTTTGAATGAGCAGTTTTGAAACTCTCTTTTCATAGTATCTGCAAGTGGATATTTGGAGCCTTTTGTGGCCTACGGTGGGAAAGGAAATATCTTCATATAAAAACTACACAGAAGCATTCTGAGAAACTTCTCAGTGATGTGAGCATTCTTCTCACAGAGTTGAACTATCTTTTGATTGAGCAGTTTTGAAACACTGTTTTTTTTAGAATCTGCAAGTGAATATTTGGAGCCTTTTGGGTCTTATTGTGGAAAAGGAAATATCTTCACATAAAAACTACACAGAAGCATTCTGAGAAACTTCTTTGTCATGTGTGGATTCATCTCACAGAGTTAAATCTTTCTTTTGATTGAGCAGTTTGCAAACACTCTTTTTGTGGTATCTCCAGGAGGATATTTGGAGTGCTTTGAGGCCTATGTTGGAAAAGGAAGTATCTTCCCTTAAAAGCTATGCAGAAGCATTCTGAGAAACTTCCTTCTGATGTGTGCATTCATCTCACCTAGTTGAACCTTTCTTTTGGTTGTGCACTTTTGAAACACTCTTTTTGTGGAATCTGCAAGTGGATATCTGGATCACTTTGACGTCTATTGTGGAAAAGGAAATATCTTCACATAAAAACTACACAGAAAGAATTCCGACATAGTTCTTTGTGATGTGTGCATTCAACTCACATAGTTGAAACCATCTCTTGATCGAGTAGTTTTGAACCTCTCTTGTTGTAGAATCTGAAAGTGGATATTTGTGTCCCCTGGCGGTCTATGGTGGAAAAGAAATATCTTCACAAAAATACTACACAGAAGCATTCTGAGAAACTTCTTTGTGATGTGTCCATTCATCTCACAGAGTTGAACCTTTCTTTTGATTGAGCAGTTTTGAAATACTCCTTTTGTAGAATCTGCAAGTGGATATTTTGAGTGCTTTGAGAACTATTGTGGAAAAGGAATTATCTTCTCATAAAACCTACACTGAAGGATTCTGAGAAATTTCTTGTGATGTGTGCATTCATCTCACAGAGTTGAACATTTCCTATGATTGAGCAGTTTGGAAATATTCTTTTCATAGAATCTGGAAGTGGATATTTGGAGCCCTTTGAGGCCTATTGTGGAAAAGGAAATATCTTCACATAAAAACTACAGAGAAGCATTCTGAGAAACTTCTTTGTGATGTGTGCATTCATCAAACAGAATTGAACATTTCTTTTTTTGTGCAGTTTTGAAACAATCTTCTTGTAGTATCTGCAAGTGGATATTTGGAGCGTTTTAAGACCTAAGGTGGGAAAGGAAATATCTTCACATAAAAATTACACAGAGAGATTCTGAGAAACTTCTTTGTGATGTGTGCATTCATCTCATATATTTGAACCTTTCTTTTCATTGTGCAGTTTCCAAGCAATCTTTTTCTAGAATATGTAAGTGGATATTTGGAGCACTTTGTGGACTATGGAGGGAAAAGAAATGTCTTCACATAAAAACTACACAGAAGCATTGGGAGAAAATTCTTGTGATATTTGTGTTCAACCCACAAAGTTGAACATATTGTTTGATAGAGCAGTTGTGAAACTCTCTTTTTGTAGAATCTGCAAGTGGGTATTTGGAGCCCTTTGTGGCCCATGGTAGAAAAGGAACTATCTTCACAGAAAAACTACCCAGAAGCATTTTGAGAAACTCCTTTGTGATTTGTGCACTCATCTCACGGTGTTGAAACTTTATTTTTATTGAGCAATTTTGAACATTCCTTTTTATAGAATCTACAAGTGGATATTTGGAGTGGTTTGAGACCTATGGTAGAAAAAGAACTATCTTCACCGAAAAACCACACAGAAGCATTTTGAGAAGCTTCTTTTTGATGTATGCATTCAACTCACAGAGACGAACTGATCTTTTGATAGAGCAGTTTTGAAACTCACTTTTGTAGAATCTGCAGGTGGATATTTGGAGTACATTGCGGCCTATGGTGAAAAAGGAACTATCTTCGCATGAGAACCAGGCAGAAACATTCTGAGAAACTAGTTTGTGATGTGTGCATTCATCTCACAGAGTTGAAATCATTTTTTGATTTGAGTAGTTTGGAAACACTCTTTTTGTGGAATCTCTAAGGGCATATTTGAAGCGTTTTGCACGCTGTTGTGGAAAAGGAAATATCTTCACATAAAAACTACACAGAAGCATTCTGAGAAACTACTTTGTGATGTGGGCATTCATGTCACGGTTTTGAACCTTCCATTTGATTGAGCAGTTTTGAAATACTCGTTTGGTAGAATGTACAAGTGAATATTTGGAGCACTTTGAGGCCTATGATAGAAACGGAAATATGTTTACATAAAAACTACACAGAAGCATGCTGAGAAACCTCTTTGTGATGTGTGTATTCACCTCCGGGAGTTCAACCTATCATTTGACAGAGCGGTTTTGAAACTCTTTTTGTAGAATCTCCAAGTGGATATTTGGAGCCCTTTGCATTCTACTGTGAAAAGGAAATATCTTCACATAAAAACTACACAGACGCATTCTGAGAAACTTCTTTGTGATGTTTGCTTTCAACTCACAGAATTGAACCTTTTGTTTGAGTAGTTTTGAAACTCTCTTTTTGTAGAATCTAGAAGTGGATATTTAGAACGCTTGGAGGCCTATGGTGCAAAAACGAATAACTTCACACAAAAAATACACAGAAGCATTCTGAGAAACTTCTTTACGATGTCTGCATTCACCTCACAGATTTGAATGTCTCTTTTGATTGAGCAGTTTGGAAGCACTCTTTCGGTAGAATCTGCAAGTGGATATGGAGAGAGCTTTGAGGCCTGTTGTGGAAAACTAAATGTCTTCATATAAAAGCTACACAGAAGCATTCTGAGAAACTCTTTTGTTATGTGTGCATTCATCTCACAGAGTTGAACCTTTCTTTTGATTCGGCAGTTTTGAAACACGGTTTTTGTAGAATCTTCAAGTGGATATTTGGAGCACTTTTCTGCCTATTGTGTAAAAGGAAATATCTTTACGTAAGAACTACACAGAAGCATTCTGAGAAACTTCTTTGTGATGTTCTTAACTCACAGCGTTAAACTTACCTTTGGTAGAGCAGTTTTGAAACTCTCTTTTTGTGGAAAATGTAAGTGGGTATTTAGAGCCATTTGTGGCCTATGGTGGAAAGGAAAATATCTTCACATAAAAACTACACAGAAGCATTCTGAGAAACTACCTTTTGATGTGTGTATTTGTCTCAGACTGGAACCTTCCTTTTGATTGAGCAGTTCTGAAACACTCTTTTTGTAGAATCTGGAAGTGCATATTTGGAGTGCTTTGAGGCCTATGGTGGAAAAAGAAATATCTTCATTTAAAAACTACACAGAAGCATTCTGAGAAACTTCTTTGTGATGTGTGTATTCATACCACAGAGTCGAAACTATCGTTTGAGAGAGCATTTCGAAACTTTCTTTTTGTAGGATCTGCAAGTGGATATTTGGAGGGCTTTCAGGCCTATGGTGGAAAAGGAAATATCTTCACATAAACACTACTCAGAAGCATTCTGAGAAACTTCTTCACGATGGTTGCACTAAACTCTCAGAGTTGAACTTATCTTTTGATAGAGCAGTTTTGAAACTCTGTGTTACTAGAATCTGCATGTGGTTATTTGGAGTCCTTTGTGGCCGATGGTGGAAAAGGAAATATCTTCCCCTAAAAAGTACACAGAAGCATTCTGAGAAACTTTTTTGACATGTGTGCACTAATCTCACAGAGTTTAATCTATCATTTGATTGAGCAGTTTTAAAAAACTTTTTTTGTGGAATCTGCAATTGGATATTTGGAACGCTTTGAGGCCTATTGTGGAAAAGGCAATATCTTCACATAAAAACTACACAGAAACATTCCGAGAAACTTCTCTGTGATGTGTGCACTCATCTCACGGAGTTGAACCTTTCTTTGATTGACAAGTTTTGAAAGACTATGTTTCTATAATGTGCAAGTGGATATTTGGAGTGCTTTGAGGCATATGGTGGAAAAGGAAATATATTCACATAAAACTATACAGAAGCGTTCCCAGAAACTTATTTGTGATGTGTTTATTCAACTCGCAGAGTTGACCCTATCTTTTGATACAGCAGTTTTGAAACTCTCTTTTTGTAGAATCTGCAAGTGGATATTTGCAGCGCTTTGAGGCCTGCGGTGGAAAAGGAAATATCTTCACATAAAAACTACACAGAAGCATTCTCAGTAACTTCTTTGTAATGTGTGCATTCACCTCACAGACTTGAAACTTCCTACTTGATTGAGCAGCTTGGAAACACACTTTTAGTGAAATCTGCAAGTGGATATTTGGAGCACCTTGAGGCCTGTTGTGGAAAAGGAAATATCTTCACATAAAAACTACACAGAAGCATTCCAATAAACTTGTTTGTGATATGTACCTTCAACTGACAGATTTGAACCTTTCTTTTGATTAAATAGTTTTGAAAATCTCTTTTTGTAGAATCTGCAAGTGGATATTTGGAGTGCTTTGAGGCCTATGGTGGAAAAGGAAATATCTTTACATAAAAACTACACAGAAAGCATTCTGAGAAACTACTTTGTGATGTGTGCATTCATATCACATAGTTGAACCTATCTTTTGATAGAGCACTTTTGAAACTCTCTTTTTGTAGAATCTGCAAGTGGATATTTGGAGCCCTTTGCAGCCTATGGTGGAAAAGGAAACATCTTCACATAAAAACTACACAGAAGCATTCTCAGAAACTACTTTGTGATGTGTGCGTTCAGCTCACAGACTTGAAACTTCCTCTTGATTGAGCAGTTTGGAAACACTCTTTAGTAAAATCTGCAAGTGGATATTCGGAGCACTTTGAGGCCTGTTGTGGAGAAGGAAATATCTTCACATAAAAACTACACAGACGCATTCCGAGAAACTTGTTTGTGATATGTGCATTCAACTGACAGAGTTGAACCTTTCTTTTGATTGACTAGTTTTGAAAATCTCTTTTTGTAGAATCTGCAAGTGGATATTTGGAGTGCTTTGAGGCCTATGGTGGAAAAGGAAATATCTTCATATGAAAACTACACAGAAGCATTCTGAGAAAATTCTTTGTGATGTGTGCATTCAAACCACAGACTTGAACTGATCTTTTGATAGAGCAGTTTTTAAAGTGTCTTTCTGTAGAATCTGCAAGTGGTTACTTGGAGACCTTTGTGGAAGATGGTGGAAAAGGAAATGTCTTCCCGTAAAAACTACACAGATGCATTCTGAGAAACTTCTTTGTGATGTGTGCATTCATCTCACAGAGTTCAACCTATCTTTTCGTAGAGCAGTTTTGAAACTCTCTTTTCCTAGAATCTGTAAGTTGATATTTGGAGCCCTTTGCGGCCTATTGTGGAAAAGGAAATAACTTCACATGAAAACTACACAGAAGCTGAGAAACTTCTTTGTGATGTGTGCATTAATTTCCCAGAGTCGAACCTTTCTTTTGATTGAGCAGTTTTGAAACACTCTTTTTGTAGAATCTGCAAGTGGACATTTGAAGCACTTTGAGGCCTATTGTTGAAAAGGAAACATCTTCATATAAAAACAACAAGGAAGCATTCTGAGAAACCATTTTGTGCTGTGTGCATTCACCTCACAGAGTTCAACTTTATTTGATACAGCAGTTTTGAAACACTCTTCTTGTGGAATCTGCAAGTGGAAATTGGGAAATATTTAGGCATATGGTGGAAAAGGAAACATCCGCACATAAAAACTACACAGACACATTCTGTGAAACTTCTTTGTGCTGTGTGCATTCAAACCACAGAGTTGAACCTATCTTTTGAATGAGCAGTTTTGAAACTCTCTTTTCATAGTATCTGCAAGTGGATATTTGGAGCCTTTTGTGGCCTACGGTGGGAAAGGAAATATCTTCATATAAAAACTACACAGAAGCATTCTGAGAAACTTCTCAGTGATGTGAGCATTCTTCTCACAGAGTTGAACTATCTTTTGATTGAGCAGTTTTGAAACACTGTTTTTTTTAGAATCTGCAAGTGAATATTTGGAGCCTTTTGGGTCTTATTGTGGAAAAGGAAATATCTTCACATAAAAACTACACAGAAGCATTCTGAGAAACTTCTTTGTCATGTGTGGATTCATCTCACAGAGTTAAATCTTTCTTTTGATTGAGCAGTTTGCAAACACTCTTTTTGTGGTATCTCCAGGAGGATATTTGGAGTGCTTTGAGGCCTATGTTGGAAAAGGAAGTATCTTCCCTTAAAAGCTATGCAGAAGCATTCTGAGAAACTTCCTTCTGATGTGTGCATTCATCTCACCTAGTTGAACCTTTCTTTTGGTTGTGCACTTTTGAAACACTCTTTTTGTGGAATCTGCAAGTGGATATCTGGATCACTTTGACGTCTATTGTGGAAAAGGAAATATCTTCACATAAAAACTACACAGAAGAATTCCGACATAGTTCTTTGTGATGTGTGCATTCAACTCACATAGTTGAAACCATCTCTTGATCGAGTAGTTTTGAACCTCTCTTGTTGTAGAATCTGAAAGTGGATATTTGTGTCCCCTGGCGGTCTATGGTGGAAAAGAAATATCTTCACAAAAATACTACACAGAAGCATTCTGAGAAACTTCTTTGTGATGTGTCCATTCATCCCACAGAGTTGAACCTTTCTTTTGATTGAGCAGTTTTGAAATACTCCTTTTGTAGAATCTGCAAGTGGATATTTTGAGTGCTTTGAGAACTATTGTGGAAAAGGAATTATCTTCTCATAAAACCTACACTGAAGGATTCTGAGAAATTTCTTGTGATGTGTGCATTCATCTCACAGAGTTGAACATTTCCTATGATTGAGCAGTTTGGAAATATTCTTTTCATAGAATCTGGAAGTGGATATTTGGAGCCCTTTGAGGCCTATTGTGGAAAAGGAAATATCTTCACATAAAAACTACAGAGAAGCATTCTGAGAAACTTCTTTGTGATGTGTGCATTCATCAAACAGAATTGAACATTTCTTTTTTTGTGCAGTTTTGAAACAATCTTCTTGTAGTATCTGCAAGTGGATATTTGGAGCGTTTTAAGACCTAAGGTGGGAAAGGAAATATCTTCACATAAAAATTACACAGAGAGATTCTGAGAAACTTCTTTGTGATGTGTGCATTCATCTCATATATTTGAACCTTTCTTTTCATTGTGCAGTTTCCAAGCAATCTTTTTCTAGAATATGTAAGTGGATATTTGGAGCACTTTGTGGACTATGGAGGGAAAAGAAATGTCTTCACATAAAAACTACACAGAAGCATTGGGAGAAAATTCTTGTGATATTTGTGTTCAACCCACAAAGTTGAACATATTGTTTGATAGAGCAGTTGTGAAACTCTCTTTTTGTAGAATCTGCAAGTGGGTATTTGGAGCCCTTTGTGGCCCATGGTAGAAAAGGAACTATCTTCACAGAAAAACTACCCAGAAGCATTTTGAGAAACTCCTTTGTGATTTGTGCACTCATCTCACGGTGTTGAAACTTTATTTTTATTGAGCAATTTTGAACATTCCTTTTTATAGAATCTACAAGTGGATATTTGGAGTGGTTTGAGACCTATGGTAGAAAAAGAACTATCTTCACCGAAAAACCACACAGAAGCATTTTGAGAAGCTTCTTTTTGATGTATGCATTCAACTCACAGAGACGAACTGATCTTTTGATAGAGCAGTTTTGAAACTCACTTTTGTAGAATCTGCAGGTGGATATTTGGAGTACATTGCGGCCTATGGTGAAAAAGGAACTATCTTCGCATGAGAACCAGGCAGAAACATTCTGAGAAACTAGTTTGTGATGTGTGCATTCATCTCACAGAGTTGAAATCATTTTTTGATTTGAGTAGTTTGGAAACACTCTTTTTGTGGAATCTCTAAGGGCATATTTGAAGCGTTTTGCACGCTGTTGTGGAAAAGGAAATATCTTCACATAAAAACTACACAGAAGCATTCTGAGAAACTACTTTGTGATGTGGGCATTCATGTCACGGTTTTGAACCTTCCATTTGATTGAGCAGTTTTGAAATACTCGTTTGGTAGAATGTACAAGTGAATATTTGGAGCACTTTGAGGCCTATGATAGAAACGGAAATATGTTTACATAAAAACTACACAGAAGCATGCTGAGAAACCTCTTTGTGATGTGTGTATTCACCTCCGGGAGTTCAACCTATCATTTGACAGAGCGGTTTTGAAACTCTTTTTGTAGAATCTCCAAGTGGATATTTGGAGCCCTTTGCATTCTACTGTGAAAAGGAAATATCTTCACATCAAAACTACACAGACGCATTCTGAGAAACTTCTTTGTGATGTTTGCTTTCAACTCACAGAATTGAACCTTTTGTTTGAGTAGTTTTGAAACTCTCTTTTTGTAGAATCTAGAAGTGGATATTTAGAACGCTTGGAGGCCTATGGTGCAAAAACGAATAACTTCACACAAAAAATACACAGAAGCATTCTGAGAAACTTCTTTACGATGTCTGCATTCACCTCACAGATTTGAATGTCTCTTTTGATTGAGCAGTTTGGAAGCACTCTTTCGGTAGAATCTGCAAGTGGATATGGAGAGAGCTTTGAGGCCTGTTGTGGAAAACTAAATGTCTTCATATAAAAGCTACACAGAAGCATTCTGAGAAACTCCTTTGTTATGTGTGCATTCATCTCACAGAGTTGAACCTTTCTTTTGATTCGGCAGTTTTGAAACACGGTTTTTGTAGAATCTTCAAGTGGATATTTGGAGCACTTTTCTGCCTATTGTGTAAAAGGAAATATCTTTACGTAAGAACTACACAGAAGCATTCTGAGAAACTTCTTTGTGATGTTCTTAACTCACAGCGTTAAACTTACCTTTGGTAGAGCAGTTTTGAAACTCTCTTTTTGTGGAAAATGTAAGTGGGTATTTAGAGCCATTTGTGGCCTATGGTGGAAAGGAAAATATCTTCACATAAAAACTACACAGAAGCATTCTGAGAAACTACCTTTTGATGTGTGTATTTGTCTCAGACTGGAACCTTCCTTTTGATTGAGCAGTTCTGAAACACTCTTTTTGTAGAATCTGGAAGTGCATATTTGGAGTGCTTTGAGGCCTATGGTGGAAAAAAGAAATATCTTCATTTAAAAACTACACAGAAAGCATTCTGAGAAACTTCTTTGTGATGTGTGTGTGTATTCATACCACAGAGTCGAAACTATCGTTTGAGAGAGCATTTCGAAACTTTCTTTTTGTAGGATCTGCAAGTGGATATTTGGAGGGCTTTCAGGCCTATGGTGGAAAAGGAAATATCTTCACATAAACACTACTCAGAAGCATTCTGAGAAACTTCTTCACGATGGTTGCACTAAACTCTCAGAGTTGAACTTATCTTTTGATAGAGCAGTTTTGAAACTCTGTGTTACTAGAATCTGCATGTGGTTATTTGGAGTCCTTTGTGGCCGATGGTGGAAAAGGAAATATCTTCCCCTAAAAAGTACACAGAAGCATTCTGAGAAACTTTTTTGACATGTGTGCACTAATCTCACAGAGTTTAATCTATCATTTGATTGAGCAGTTTTAAAAAACTTTTTTTGTGGAATCTGCAATTGGATATTTGGAACGCTTTGAGGCCTATTGTGGAAAAGGCAATATCTTCACATAAAAACTACACAGAAACATTCCGAGAAACTTCTCTGTGATGTGTGCACTCATCTCACGGAGTTGAACCTTTCTTTGATTGACAAGTTTTGAAAGACTATGTTTCTATAATGTGCAAGTGGATATTTGGAGTGCTTTGAGGCATATGGTGGAAAAGGAAATATATTCACATAAAACTATACAGAAGCGTTCCCAGAAACTTATTTGTGATGTGTTTATTCAACTCGCAGAGTTGACCCTATCTTTTGATACAGCAGTTTTGAAACTCTCTTTTTGTAGAATCTGCAAGTGGATATTTGCAGCGCTTTGAGGCCTGCGGTGGAAAAGGAAATATCTTCACATAAAAACTACACAGAAGCATTCTCAGTAACTTCTTTGTAATGTGTGCATTCACCTCACAGACTTGAAACTTCCTCTTGATTGAGCAGCTTGGAAACACACTTTTAGTGAAATCTGCAAGTGGATATTTGGAGCACCTTGAGGCCTGTTGTGGAAAAGGAAATATCTTCACATAAAAACTACACAGAAGCATTCCAATAAACTTGTTTGTGATATGTACCTTCAACTGACAGATTTGAACCTTTCTTTTGATTAAATAGTTTTGAAAATCTCTTTTTGTAGAATCTGCAAGTGGATATTTGGAGTGCTTTGAGGCCTATGGTGGAAAAGGAAATATCTTTACATAAAAACTACACAGAAGCATTCTGAGAAACTACTTTGTGATGTGTGCATTCATATCACATAGTTGAACCTATCTTTTGATAGAGCACTTTTGAAACTCTCTTTTTGTAGAATCTGCAAGTGGATATTTGGAGCCCTTTGCAGCCTATGGTGGAAAAGGAAACATCTTCACATAAAAACTACACAGAAGCATTCTCAGAAACTACTTTGTGATGTGTGCGTTCAGCTCACAGACTTGAAACTTCCTCTTGATTGAGCAGTTTGGAAACACTCTTTAGTAAAATCTGCAAGTGGATATTCGGAGCACTTTGAGGCCTGTTGTGGAGAAGGAAATATCTTCACATAAAAACTACACAGACGCATTCCGAGAAACTTGTTTGTGATATGTGCATTCAACTGACAGAGTTGAACCTTTCTTTTGATTGACTAGTTTTGAAAATCTCTTTTTGTAGAATCTGCAAGTGGATATTTGGAGTGCTTTGAGGCCTATGGTGGAAAAGGAAATATCTTCATATGAAAACTACACAGAAGCATTCTGAGAAAATTCTTTGTGATGTGTGCATTCAAACCACAGACTTGAACTGATCTTTTGATAGAGCAGTTTTTAAAGTGTCTTTCTGTAGAATCTGCAAGTGGTTACTTGGAGACCTTTGTGGAAGATGGTGGAAAAGGAAATGTCTTCCCGTAAAAACTACACAGATGCATTCTGAGAAACTTCTTTGTGATGTGTGCATTCATCTCACAGAGTTCAACCTATCTTTTCGTAGAGCAGTTTTGAAACTCTCTTTTCCTAGAATCTGTAAGTTGATATTTGGAGCCCTTTGCGGCCTATTGTGGAAAAGGAAATAACTTCACATGAAAACTACACAGAAGCTGAGAAACTTCTTTGTGATGTGTGCATTAATTTCCCAGAGTCGAACCTTTCTTTTGATTGAGCAGTTTTGAAACACTCTTTTTGTAGAATCTGCAAGTGGACATTTGAAGCACTTTGAGGCCTATTGTTGAAAAGGAAACATCTTCATATAAAAACAACAAGGAAGCATTCTGAGAAACCATTTTGTGCTGTGTGCATTCACCTCACAGAGTTCAACTTTATTTGATACAGCAGTTTTGAAACACTCTTCTTGTGGAATCTGCAAGTGGAAATTGGGAAATATTTAGGCATATGGTGGAAAAGGAAACATCCGCACATAAAAACTACACAGACACATTCTGTGAAACTTCTTTGTGCTGTGTGCATTCAAACCACAGAGTTGAACCTATCTTTTGAATGAGCAGTTTTGAAACTCTCTTTTCATAGTATCTGCAAGTGGATATTTGGAGCCTTTTGTGGCCTACGGTGGGAAAGGAAATATCTTCATATAAAAACTACACAGAAGCATTCTGAGAAACTTCTCAGTGATGTGAGCATTCTTCTCACAGAGTTGAACTATCTTTTGATTGAGCAGTTTTGAAACACTGTTTTTTTTAGAATCTGCAAGTGAATATTTGGAGCCTTTTGGGTCTTATTGTGGAAAAGGAAATATCTTCACATAAAAACTACACAGAAGCATTCTGAGAAACTTCTCAGTGATGTGAGCATTCTTCTCACAGAGTTGAACTATCTTTTGATTGAGCAGTTTTGAAACACTGTTTTTTTTAGAATCTGCAAGTGAATATTTGGAGCCTTTTGGGTCTTATTGTGGAAAAGGAAATATCTTCACATAAAAACTACACAGAAGCATTCTGAGAAACTTCTTTGTCATGTGTGGATTCATCTCACAGAGTTAAATCTTTCTTTTGATTGAGCAGTTTGCAAACACTCTTTTTGTGGTATCTCCAGGAGGATATTTGGAGTGCTTTGAGGCCTATGTTGGAAAAGGAAGTATCTTCCCTTAAAAGCTATGCAGAAGCATTCTGAGAAACTTCCTTCTGATGTGTGCATTCATCTCACCTAGTTGAACCTTTCTTTTGGTTGTGCACTTTTGAAACACTCTTTTTGTGGAATCTGCAAGTGGATATCTGGATCACTTTGACGTCTATTGTGGAAAAGGAAATATCTTCACATAAAAACTACACAGAAGAATTCCGACATAGTTCTTTGTGATGTGTGCATTCAACTCACATAGTTGAAACCATCTCTTGATCGAGTAGTTTTGAACCTCTCTTGTTGTAGAATCTGAAAGTGGATATTTGTGTCCCCTGGCGGTCTATGGTGGAAAAGAAATATCTTCACAAAAATACTACACAGAAGCATTCTGAGAAACTTCTTTGTGATGTGTCCATTCATCCCACAGAGTTGAACCTTTCTTTTGATTGAGCAGTTTTGAAATACTCCTTTTGTAGAATCTGCAAGTGGATATTTTGAGTGCTTTGAGAACTATTGTGGAAAAGGAATTATCTTCTCATAAAACCTACACTGAAGGATTCTGAGAAATTTCTTGTGATGTGTGCATTCATCTCACAGAGTTGAACATTTCCTATGATTGAGCAGTTTGGAAATATTCTTTTCATAGAATCTGGAAGTGGATATTTGGAGCCCTTTGAGGCCTATTGTGGAAAAGGAAATATCTTCACATAAAAACTACAGAGAAGCATTCTGAGAAACTTCTTTGTGATGTGTGCATTCATCAAACAGAATTGAACATTTCTTTTTTTGTGCAGTTTTGAAACAATCTTCTTGTAGTATCTGCAAGTGGATATTTGGAGCGTTTTAAGACCTAAGGTGGGAAAGGAAATATCTTCACATAAAAATTACACAGAGAGATTCTGAGAAACTTCTTTGTGATGTGTGCATTCATCTCATATATTTGAACCTTTCTTTTCATTGTGCAGTTTCCAAGCAATCTTTTTCTAGAATATGTAAGTGGATATTTGGAGCACTTTGTGGACTATGGAGGGAAAAGAAATGTCTTCACATAAAAACTACACAGAAGCATTGGGAGAAAATTCTTGTGATATTTGTGTTCAACCCACAAAGTTGAACATATTGTTTGATAGAGCAGTTGTGAAACTCTCTTTTTGTAGAATCTGCAAGTGGGTATTTGGAGCCCTTTGTGGCCCATGGTAGAAAAGGAACTTCTTCACAGAAAAACTACCCAGAAGCATTTTGAGAAACTCCTTTGTGATTTGTGCACTCATCTCACGGTGTTGAAACTTTATTTTTATTGAGCAATTTTGAACATTCCTTTTTATAGAATCTACAAGTGGATATTTGGAGTGGTTTGAGACCTATGGTAGAAAAAGAACTATCTTCACCGAAAAACCACACAGAAGCATTTTGAGAAGCTTCTTTTTGATGTATGCATTCAACTCACAGAGACGAACTGATCTTTTGATAGAGCAGTTTTGAAACTCACTTTTGTAGAATCTGCAGGTGGATATTTGGAGTACATTGCGGCCTATGGTGAAAAAGGAACTATCTTCGCATGAGAACCAGGCAGAAACATTCTGAGAAACTAGTTTGTGATGTGTGCATTCATCTCACAGAGTTGAAATCATTTTTTGATTTGAGTAGTTTGGAAACACTCTTTTTGTGGAATCTCTAAGGGCATATTTGAAGCGTTTTGCACGCTGTTGTGGAAAAGGAAATATCTTCACATAAAAACTACACAGAAGCATTCTGAGAAACTACTTTGTGATGTGGGCATTCATGTCACGGTTTTGAACCTTCCGTTTGATTGAGCAGTTTTGAAATACTCGTTTGGTAGAATGTACAAGTGAATATTTGGAGCACTTTGAGGCCTATGATAGAAACGGAAATATGTTTACATAAAAACTACACAGAAGCATGCTGAGAAACCTCTTTGTGATGTGTGTATTCACCTCCGGGAGTTCAACCTATCATTTGACAGAGCGGTTTTGAAACTCTTTTTGTAGAATCTCCAAGTGGATATTTGGAGCCCTTTGCATTCTACTGTGAAAAGGAAATATCTTCACATCAAAACTACACAGACGCATTCTGAGAAACTTCTTTGTGATGTTTGCTTTCAACTCACAGAATTGAACCTTTTGTTTGAGTAGTTTTGAAACTCTCTTTTTGTAGAATCTAGAAGTGGATATTTAGAACGCTTGGAGGCCTATGGTGCAAAAACGAATAACTTCACACAAAAAATACACAGAAGCATTCTGAGAAACTTCTTTACGATGTCTGCATTCACCTCACAGATTTGAATGTCTCTTTTGATTGAGCAGTTTGGAAGCACTCTTTCGGTAGAATCTGCAAGTGGATATGGAGAGAGCTTTGAGGCCTGTTGTGGAAAACTAAATGTCTTCATATAAAAGCTACACAGAAGCATTCTGAGAAACTCCTTTGTTATGTGTGCATTCATCTCACAGAGTTGAACCTTTCTTTTGATTCGGCAGTTTTGAAACACGGTTTTTGTAGAATCTTCAAGTGGATATTTGGAGCACTTTTCTGCCTATTGTGTAAAAGGAAATATCTTTACGTAAGAACTACACAGAAGCATTCTGAGAAACTTCTTTGTGATGTTCTTAACTCACAGCGTTAAACTTACCTTTGGTAGAGCAGTTTTGAAACTCTCTTTTTGTGGAAAATGTAAGTGGGTATTTAGAGCCATTTGTGGCCTATGGTGGAAAGGAAAATATCTTCACATAAAAACTACACAGAAGCATTCTGAGAAACTACCTTTTGATGTGTGTATTTGTCTCAGACTGGAACCTTCCTTTTGATTGAGCAGTTCTGAAACACTCTTTTTGTAGAATCTGGAAGTGCATATTTGGAGTGCTTTGAGGCCTATGGTGGAAAAAAGAAATATCTTCATTTAAAAACTACACAGAAAGCATTCTGAGAAACTTCTTTGTGATGTGTGTGTGTATTCATACCACAGAGTCGAAACTATCGTTTGAGAGAGCATTTCGAAACTTTCTTTTTGTAGGATCTGCAAGTGGATATTTGGAGGGCTTTCAGGCCTATGGTGGAAAAGGAAATATCTTCACATAAACACTACTCAGAAGCATTCTGAGAAACTTCTTCACGATGGTTGCACTAAACTCTCAGAGTTGAACTTATCTTTTGATAGAGCAGTTTTGAAACTCTGTGTTACTAGAATCTGCATGTGGTTATTTGGAGTCCTTTGTGGCCGATGGTGGAAAAGGAAATATCTTCCCCTAAAAAGTACACAGAAGCATTCTGAGAAACTTTTTTGACATGTGTGCACTAATCTCACAGAGTTTAATCTATCATTTGATTGAGCAGTTTTAAAAAACTTTTTTTGTGGAATCTGCAATTGGATATTTGGAACGCTTTGAGGCCTATTGTGGAAAAGGCAATATCTTCACATAAAAACTACACAGAAACATTCCGAGAAACTTCTCTGTGATGTGTGCACTCATCTCACGGAGTTGAACCTTTCTTTGATTGACAAGTTTTGAAAGACTATGTTTCTATAATGTGCAAGTGGATATTTGGAGTGCTTTGAGGCATATGGTGGAAAAGGAAATATATTCACATAAAACTATACAGAAGCGTTCCCAGAAACTTATTTGTGATGTGCTTATTCAACTCGCAGAGTTGACCCTATCTTTTGATACAGCAGTTTTGAAACTCTCTTTTTGTAGAATCTGCAAGTGGATATTTGCAGCGCTTTGAGGCCTGCGGTGGAAAAGGAAATATCTTCACATAAAAACTACACAGAAGCATTCTCAGTAACTTCTTTGTAATGTGTGCATTCACCTCACAGACTTGAAACTTCCTCTTGATTGAGCAGCTTGGAAACACACTTTTAGTGAAATCTGCAAGTGGATATTTGGAGCACCTTGAGGCCTGTTGTGGAAAAGGAAATATCTTCACATAAAAACTACACAGAAGCATTCCAATAAACTTGTTTGTGATATGTACCTTCAACTGACAGATTTGAACCTTTCTTTTGATTAAATAGTTTTGAAAATCTCTTTTTGTAGAATCTGCAAGTGGATATTTGGAGTGCTTTGAGGCCTATGGTGGAAAAGGAAATATCTTTACATAAAAACTACACAGAAGCATTCTGAGAAACTACTTTGTGATGTGTGCATTCATATCACATAGTTGAACCTATCTTTTGATAGAGCACTTTTGAAACTCTCTTTTTGTAGAATCTGCAAGTGGATATTTGGAGCCCTTTGCAGCCTATGGTGGAAAAGGAAACATCTTCACATAAAAACTACACAGAAGCATTCTCAGAAACTACTTTGTGATGTGTGCGTTCAGCTCACAGACTTGAAACTTCCTCTTGATTGAGCAGTTTGGAAACACTCTTTAGTAAAATCTGCAAGTGGATATTCGGAGCACTTTGAGGCCTGTTGTGGAGAAGGAAATATCTTCACATAAAAACTACACAGACGCATTCCGAGAAACTTGTTTGTGATATGTGCATTCAACTGACAGAGTTGAACCTTTCTTTTGATTGACTAGTTTTGAAAATCTCTTTTTGTAGAATCTGCAAGTGGATATTTGGAGTGCTTTGAGGCCTACGGTGGAAAAGGAAATATCTTCATATGAAAACTACACAGAAAGCATTCTGAGAAACTACTTTGTGATGTGTGCATTCATATCACATAGTTGAACCTATCTTTTGATAGAGCACTTTTGAAACTCTCTTTTTGTAGAATCTGCAAGTGGATATTTGGAGCCCTTTGCAGCCTATGGTGGAAAAGGAAACATCTTCACATAAAAACTACACAGAAGCATTCCCAGAAACTTTCTGTGATGTGTGCATTCATCTCACAGTGTTGAAACATTCTTTTAACTGAGCATTTTTGAAAAATTCTGTTTTTATAATTTACAAGTGAATATTTGGAGCACTTTGAAGCCTATGGTGGAAAAGGAAATATTTCACATAAAAACTACACAGAACACATTCTGTGAAACTTCTTTGTGCTGTGTGCATTCAAACCACAGTAGTTGAACCTATCTTTTGAATGAGCAGTTTTGAAACTCTCTTTTCATAGTATCTGCAAGTGGATATTTGGAGCCTTTTGTGGCCTACGGTGGGAAAGGAAATATCTTCATATAAAAACTACACAGAAGCATTCTGAGAAACTTCTCAGTGATGTGAGCATTCTTCTCACAGAGTTGAACTATCTTTTGATTGAGCAGTTTTGAAACACTGTTTTTTTTAGAATCTGCAAGTGAATATTTGGAGCCTTTTGGGTCTTATTGTGGAAAAGGAAATATCTTCACATAAAAACTACACAGAAGCATTCTGAGAAACTTCTTTGTCATGTGTGGATTCATCTCACAGAGTTAAATCTTTCTTTTGATTGAGCAGTTTGCAAACACTCTTTTTGTGGTATCTCCAGGAGGATATTTGGAGTGCTTTGAGGCCTATGTTGGAAAAGGAAGTATCTTCCCTTAAAAGCTATGCAGAAGCATTCTGAGAAACTTCCTTCTGATGTGTGCATTCATCTCACCTAGTTGAACCTTTCTTTTGGTTGTGCACTTTTGAAACACTCTTTTTGTGGAATCTGCAAGTGGATATCTGGATCACTTTGACGTCTATTGTGGAAAAGGAAATATCTTCACATAAAAACTACACAGAAGAATTCCGACATAGTTCTTTGTGATGTGTGCATTCAACTCACATAGTTGAAACCATCTCTTGATCGAGTAGTTTTGAACCTCTCTTGTTGTAGAATCTGAAAGTGGATATTTGTGTCCCCTGGCGGTCTATGGTGGAAAAGAAATATCTTCACAAAAATACTACACAGAAGCATTCTGAGAAACTTCTTTGTGATGTGTCCATTCATCTCACAGAGTTGAACCTTTCTTTTGATTGAGCAGTTTTGAAATACTCCTTTTGTAGAATCTGCAAGTGGATATTTTGAGTGCTTTGAGAACTATTGTGGAAAAGGAATTATCTTCTCATAAAACCTACACTGAAGGATTCTGAGAAATTTCTTGTGATGTGTGCATTCATCTCACAGAGTTGAACATTTCCTATGATTGAGCAGTTTGGAAATATTCTTTTCATAGAATCTGGAAGTGGATATTTGGAGCCCTTTGAGGCCTATTGTGGAAAAGGAAATATCTTCACATAAAAACTACAGAGAAGCATTCTGAGAAACTTCTTTGTGATGTGTGCATTCATCAAACAGAATTGAACATTTCTTTTTTTGTGCAGTTTTGAAACAATCTTCTTGTAGTATCTGCAAGTGGATATTTGGAGCGTTTTAAGACCTAAGGTGGGAAAGGAAATATCTTCACATAAAAATTACACAGAGAGATTCTGAGAAACTTCTTTGTGATGTGTGCATTCATCTCATATATTTGAACCTTTCTTTTCATTGTGCAGTTTCCAAGCAATCTTTTTCTAGAATATGTAAGTGGATATTTGGAGCACTTTGTGGACTATGGAGGGAAAAGAAATGTCTTCACATAAAAACTACACAGAAGCATTGGGAGAAAATTCTTGTGATATTTGTGTTCAACCCACAAAGTTGAACATATTGTTTGATAGAGCAGTTGTGAAACTCTCTTTTTGTAGAATCTGCAAGTGGGTATTTGGAGCCCTTTGTGGCCCATGGTAGAAAAGGAACTATCTTCACAGAAAAACTACCCAGAAGCATTTTGAGAAACTCCTTTGTGATTT
The DNA here is from genome assembly GCF_000001405.40 of Homo sapiens. Lineage (NCBI taxonomy): Eukaryota > Metazoa > Chordata > Mammalia > Primates > Hominidae > Homo > Homo sapiens. The sequence goes on from NC_000024.10 coordinate 10,436,665, forward strand.
GTGCACTCATCTCACGGTGTTGAAACTTTATTTTTATTGAGCAATTTTGAACATTCCTTTTTATAGAATCTACAAGTGGATATTTGGAGTGGTTTGAGACCTATGGTAGAAAAAGAACTATCTTCACCGAAAAACCACACAGAAGCATTTTGAGAAGCTTCTTTTTGATGTATGCATTCAACTCACAGAGACGAACTGATCTTTTGATAGAGCAGTTTTGAAACTCACTTTTGTAGAATCTGCAGGTGGATATTTGGAGTACATTGCGGCCTATGGTGAAAAAGGAACTATCTTCGCATGAGAACCAGGCAGAAACATTCTGAGAAACTAGTTTGTGATGTGTGCATTCATCTCACAGAGTTGAAATCATTTTTTGATTTGAGTAGTTTGGAAACACTCTTTTTGTGGAATCTCTAAGGGCATATTTGAAGCGTTTTGCACGCTGTTGTGGAAAAGGAAATATCTTCACATAAAAACTACACAGAAGCATTCTGAGAAACTACTTTGTGATGTGGGCATTCATGTCACGGTTTTGAACCTTCCATTTGATTGAGCAGTTTTGAAATACTCGTTTGGTAGAATGTACAAGTGAATATTTGGAGCACTTTGAGGCCTATGATAGAAACGGAAATATGTTTACATAAAAACTACACAGAAGCATGCTGAGAAACCGCTTTGTGATGTGTGTATTCACCTCCGGGAGTTCAACCTATCATTTGACAGAGCGGTTTTGAAACTCTTTTTGTAGAATCTCCAAGTGGATATTTGGAGCCCTTTGCATTCTACTGTGAAAAGGAAATATCTTCACATCAAAACTACACAGACGCATTCTGAGAAACTTCTTTGTGATGTTTGCTTTCAACTCACAGAATTGAACCTTTTGTTTGAGTAGTTTTGAAACTCTCTTTTTGTAGAATCTAGAAGTGGATATTTAGAACGCTTGGAGGCCTATGGTGCAAAAACGAATAACTTCACACAAAAAATACACAGAAGCATTCTGAGAAACTTCTTTACGATGTCTGCATTCACCTCACAGATTTGAATGTCTCTTTTGATTGAGCAGTTTGGAAGCACTCTTTCGGTAGAATCTGCAAGTGGATATGGAGAGAGCTTTGAGGCCTGTTGTGGAAAACTAAATGTCTTCATATAAAAGCTACACAGAAGCATTCTGAGAAACTCCTTTGTTATGTGTGCATTCATCTCACAGAGTTGAACCTTTCTTTTGATTCGGCAGTTTTGAAACACGGTTTCTGTAGAATCTTCAAGTGGATATTTGGAGCACTTTTCTGCCTATTGTGTAAAAGGAAATATCTTTACGTAAGAACTACACAGAAGCATTCTGAGAAACTTCTTTGTGATGTTCTTAACTCACAGCGTTAAACTTACCTTTGGTAGAGCAGTTTTGAAACTCTCTTTTTGTGGAAAATGTAAGTGGGTATTTAGAGCCATTTGTGGCCTATGGTGGAAAGGAAAATATCTTCACATAAAAACTACACAGAAGCATTCTGAGAAACTACCTTTTGATGTGTGTATTTGTCTCAGACTGGAACCTTCCTTTTGATTGAGCAGTTCTGAAACACTCTTTTTGTAGAATCTGGAAGTGCATATTTGGAGTGCTTTGAGGCCTATGGTGGAAAAAGAAATATCTTCATTTAAAAACTACACAGAAGCATTCTGAGAAACTTCTTTGTGATGTGTGTATTCATACCACAGAGTCGAAACTATCGTTTGAGAGAGCATTTCGAAACTTTCTTTTTGTAGGATCTGCAAGTGGATATTTGGAGGGCTTTCAGGCCTATGGTGGAAAAGGAAATATCTTCACATAAACACTACTCAGAAGCATTCTGAGAAACTTCTTCACGATGGTTGCACTAAACTCTCAGTTGAACTTATCTTTTGATAGAGCAGTTTTGAAACTCTGTGTTACTAGAATCTGCATGTGGTTATTTGGAGTCCTTTGTGGCCGATGGTGGAAAAGGAAATATCTTCCCCTAAAAAGTACACAGAAGCATTCTGAGAAACTTTTTTGACATGTGTGCACTAATCTCACAGAGTTTAATCTATCATTTGATTGAGCAGTTTTAAAAAACTTTTTTTGTGGAATCTGCAATTGGATATTTGGAACGCTTTGAGGCCTATTGTGGAAAAGGCAATATCTTCACATAAAAACTACACAGAAACATTCCGAGAAACTTCTCTGTGATGTGTGCACTCATCTCACGGAGTTGAACCTTTCTTTGATTGACAAGTTTTGAAAGACTATGTTTCTATAATGTGCAAGTGGATATTTGGAGTGCTTTGAGGCATATGGTGGAAAAGGAAATATATTCACATAAAACTATACAGAAGCGTTCCCAGAAACTTATTTGTGATGTGCTTATTCAACTCGCAGAGTTGACCCTATCTTTTGATACAGCAGTTTTGAAACTCTCTTTTTGTAGAATCTGCAAGTGGATATTTGCAGCGCTTTGAGGCCTGCGGTGGAAAAGGAAATATCTTCACATAAAAACTACACAGAAGCATTCTCAGTAACTTCTTTGTAATGTGTGCATTCACCTCACAGACTTGAAACTTCCTCTTGATTGAGCAGCTTGGAAACACACTTTTAGTGAAATCTGCAAGTGGATATTTGGAGCACCTTGAGGCCTGTTGTGGAAAAGGAAATATCTTCACATAAAAACTACACAGAAGCATTCCAATAAACTTGTTTGTGATATGTACCTTCAACTGACAGATTTGAACCTTTCTTTTGATTAAATAGTTTTGAAAATCTCTTTTTGTAGAATCTGCAAGTGGATATTTGGAGTGCTTTGAGGCCTATGGTGGAAAAGGAAATATCTTTACATAAAAACTACACAGAAGCATTCTGAGAAACTACTTTGTGATGTGTGCATTCATATCACATAGTTGAACCTATCTTTTGATAGAGCACTTTTGAAACTCTCTTTTTGTAGAATCTGCAAGTGGATATTTGGAGCCCTTTGCAGCCTATGGTGGAAAAGAAAACATCTTCACATAAAAACTACACAGAAGCATTCTCAGAAACTACTTTGTGATGTGTGCGTTCAGCTCACAGACTTGAAACTTCCTCTTGATTGAGCAGTTTGGAAACACTCTTTAGTAAAATCTGCAAGTGGATATTCGGAGCACTTTGAGGCCTGTTGTGGAGAAGGAAATATCTTCACATAAAAACTACACAGACGCATTCCGAGAAACTTGTTTGTGATATGTGCATTCAACTGACAGAGTTGAACCTTTCTTTTGATTGACTAGTTTTGAAAATCTCTTTTTGTAGAATCTGCAAGTGGATATTTGGAGTGCTTTGAGGCCTATGGTGGAAAAGGAAATATCTTCATATGAAAACTACACAGAAGCATTCTGAGAAAATTCTTTGTGATGTGTGCATTCAAACCACAGACTTGAACTGATCTTTTGATAGAGCAGTTTTTAAAGTGTCTTTCTGTAGAATCTGCAAGTGGTTACTTGGAGACCTTTGTGGAAGATGGTGGAAAAGGAAATGTCTTCCCGTAAAAACTACACAGATGCATTCTGAGAAACTTCTTTGTGATGTGTGCATTCATCTCACAGAGTTCAACCTATCTTTTCGTAGAGCAGTTTTGAAACTCTCTTTTCCTAGAATCTGTAAGTTGATATTTGGAGCCCTTTGCGGCCTATTGTGGAAAAGGAAATAACTTCACATGAAAACTACACAGAAGCTGAGAAACTTCTTTGTGATGTGTGCATTAATTTCCCAGAGTCGAACCTTTCTTTTGATTGAGCAGTTTTGAAACACTCTTTTTGTAGAATCTGCAAGTGGACATTTGAAGCACTTTGAGGCCTATTGTTGAAAAGGAAACATCTTCATATAAAAACAACAAGGAAGCATTCTGAGAAACCATTTTGTGCTGTGTGCATTCACCTCACAGAGTTCAACTTTATTTGATACAGCAGTTTTGAAACACTCTTCTTGTAGAATCTGCAAGTGGAAATTGGGAAATATTTAGGCATATGGTGGAAAAGGAAACATCCGCACATAAAAACTACACAGACACATTCTGTGAAACTTCTTTGTGCTGTGTGCATTCAAACCACAGAGTTGAACCTATCTTTTGAATGAGCAGTTTTGAAACTCTCTTTTCATAGTATCTGCAAGTGGATATTTGGAGCCTTTTGTGGCCTACGGTGGGAAAGGAAATATCTTCATATAAAAACTACACAGAAGCATTCTGAGAAACTTCTCAGTGATGTGAGCATTCTTCTCACAGAGTTGAACTATCTTTTGATTGAGCAGTTTTGAAACACTGTTTTTTTTAGAATCTGCAAGTGAATATTTGGAGCCTTTTGGGTCTTATTGTGGAAAAGGAAATATCTTCACATAAAAACTACACAGAAGCATTCTGAGAAACTTCTTTGTCATGTGTGGATTCATCTCACAGAGTTAAATCTTTCTTTTGATTGAGCAGTTTGCAAACACTCTTTTTGTGGTATCTCCAGGAGGATATTTGGAGTGCTTTGAGGCCTATGTTGGAAAAGGAAGTATCTTCCCTTAAAAGCTATGCAGAAGCATTCTGAGAAACTTCCTTCTGATGTGTGCATTCATCTCACCTAGTTGAACCTTTCTTTTGGTTGTGCACTTTTGAAACACTCTTTTTGTGGAATCTGCAAGTGGATATCTGGATCACTTTGACGTCTATTGTGGAAAAGGAAATATCTTCACATAAAAACTACACAGAAGAATTCCGACATAGTTCTTTGTGATGTGTGCATTCAACTCACATAGTTGAAACCATCTCTTGATCGAGTAGTTTTGAACCTCTCTTGTTGTAGAATCTGAAAGTGGATATTTGTGTCCCCTGGCGGTCTATGGTGGAAAAGAAATATCTTCACAAAAATACTACACAGAAGCATTCTGAGAAACTTCTTTGTGATGTGTCCATTCATCTCACAGAGTTGAACCTTTCTTTTGATTGAGCAGTTTTGAAATACTCCTTTTGTAGAATCTGCAAGTGGATATTTTGAGTGCTTTGAGAACTATTGTGGAAAAGGAATTATCTTCTCATAAAACCTACACTGAAGGATTCTGAGAAATTTCTTGTGATGTGTGCATTCATCTCACAGAGTTGAACATTTCCTATGATTGAGCAGTTTGGAAATATTCTTTTCATAGAATCTGGAAGTGGATACTTGGAGCCCTTTGAGGCCTATTGTGGAAAAGGAAATATCTTCACATAAAAACTACAGAGAAGCATTCTGAGAAACTTCTTTGTGATGTGTGCATTCATCAAACAGAATTGAACATTTCTTTTTTTGTGCAGTTTTGAAACAATCTTCTTGTAGTATCTGCAAGTGGATATTTGGAGCGTTTTAAGACCTAAGGTGGGAAAGGAAATATCTTCACATAAAAATTACACAGAGAGATTCTGAGAAACTTCTTTGTGATGTGTGCATTCATCTCATATATTTGAACCTTTCTTTTCATTGTGCAGTTTCCAAGCAATCTTTTTCTAGAATATGTAAGTGGATATTTGGAGCACTTTGTGGACTATGGAGGGAAAAGAAATGTCTTCACATAAAAACTACACAGAAGCATTGGGAGAAAATTCTTGTGATATTTGTGTTCAACCCACAAAGTTGAACATATTGTTTGATAGAGCAGTTGTGAAACTCTCTTTTTGTAGAATCTGCAAGTGGGTATTTGGAGCCCTTTGTGGCCCATGGTAGAAAAGGAACTATCTTCACAGAAAAACTACCCAGAAGCATTTTGAGAAACTCCTTTGTGATTTGTGCACTCATCTCACGGTGTTGAAACTTTATTTTTATTGAGCAATTTTGAACATTCCTTTTTATAGAATCTACAAGTGGATATTTGGAGTGGTTTGAGACCTATGGTAGAAAAAGAACTATCTTCACCGAAAAACCACACAGAAGCATTTTGAGAAGCTTCTTTTTGATGTATGCATTCAACTCACAGAGACGAACTGATCTTTTGATAGAGCAGTTTTGAAACTCACTTTTGTAGAATCTGCAGGTGGATATTTGGAGTACATTGCGGCCTATGGTGAAAAAGGAACTATCTTCGCATGAGAACCAGGCAGAAACATTCTGAGAAACTAGTTTGTGATGTGTGCATTCATCTCACAGAGTTGAAATCATTTTTTGATTTGAGTAGTTTGGAAACACTCTTTTTGTGGAATCTCTAAGGGCATATTTGAAGCGTTTTGCACGCTGTTGTGGAAAAGGAAATATCTTCACATAAAAACTACACAGAAGCATTCTGAGAAACTACTTTGTGATGTGGGCATTCATGTCACGGTTTTGAACCTTCCATTTGATTGAGCAGTTTTGAAATACTCGTTTGGTAGAATGTACAAGTGAATATTTGGAGCACTTTGAGGCCTATGATAGAAACGGAAATATGTTTACATAAAAACTACACAGAAGCATGCTGAGAAACCTCTTTGTGATGTGTGTATTCACCTCCGGGAGTTCAACCTATCATTTGACAGAGCGGTTTTGAAACTCTTTTTGTAGAATCTCCAAGTGGATATTTGGAGCCCTTTGCATTCTACTGTGAAAAGGAAATATCTTCACATCAAAACTACACAGACGCATTCTGAGAAACTTCTTTGTGATGTTTGCTTTCAACTCACAGAATTGAACCTTTTGTTTGAGTAGTTTTGAAACTCTCTTTTTGTAGAATCTAGAAGTGGATATTTAGAACGCTTGGAGGCCTATGGTGCAAAAACGAATAACTTCACACAAAAAATACACAGAAGCATTCTGAGAAACTTCTTTACGATGTCTGCATTCACCTCACAGATTTGAATGTCTCTTTTGATTGAGCAGTTTGGAAGCACTCTTTCGGTAGAATCTGCAAGTGGATATGGAGAGAGCTTTGAGGCCTGTTGTGGAAAACTAAATGTCTTCATATAAAAGCTACACAGAAGCATTCTGAGAAACTCCTTTGTTATGTGTGCATTCATCTCACAGAGTTGAACCTTTCTTTTGATTCGGCAGTTTTGAAACACGGTTTCTGTAGAATCTTCAAGTGGATATTTGGAGCACTTTTCTGCCTATTGTGTAAAAGGAAATATCTTTACGTAAGAACTACACAGAAGCATTCTGAGAAACTTCTTTGTGATGTTCTTAACTCACAGCGTTAAACTTACCTTTGGTAGAGCAGTTTTGAAACTCTCTTTTTGTGGAAAATGTAAGTGGGTATTTAGAGCCATTTGTGGCCTATGGTGGAAAGGAAAATATCTTCACATAAAAACTACACAGAAGCATTCTGAGAAACTACCTTTTGATGTGTGTATTTGTCTCAGACTGGAACCTTCCTTTTGATTGAGCAGTTCTGAAACACTCTTTTTGTAGAATCTGGAAGTGCATATTTGGAGTGCTTTGAGGCCTATGGTGGAAAAAGAAATATCTTCATTTAAAAACTACACAGAAGCATTCTGAGAAACTTCTTTGTGATGTGTGTATTCATACCACAGAGTCGAAACTATCGTTTGAGAGAGCATTTCGAAACTTTCTTTTTGTAGGATCTGCAAGTGGATATTTGGAGGGCTTTCAGGCCTATGGTGGAAAAGGAAATATCTTCACATAAACACTACTCAGAAGCATTCTGAGAAACTTCTTCACGATGGTTGCACTAAACTCTCAGAGTTGAACTTATCTTTTGATAGAGCAGTTTTGAAACTCTGTGTTACTAGAATCTGCATGTGGTTATTTGGAGTCCTTTGTGGCCGATGGTGGAAAAGGAAATATCTTCCCCTAAAAAGTACACAGAAGCATTCTGAGAAACTTTTTTGACATGTGTGCACTAATCTCACAGAGTTTAATCTATCATTTGATTGAGCAGTTTTAAAAAACTTTTTTTGTGGAATCTGCAATTGGATATTTGGAACGCTTTGAGGCCTATTGTGGAAAAGGCAATATCTTCACATAAAAACTACACAGAAACATTCCGAGAAACTTCTCTGTGATGTGTGCACTCATCTCACGGAGTTGAACCTTTCTTTGATTGACAAGTTTTGAAAGACTATGTTTCTATAATGTGCAAGTGGATATTTGGAGTGCTTTGAGGCATATGGTGGAAAAGGAAATATATTCACATAAAACTATACAGAAGCGTTCCCAGAAACTTATTTGTGATGTGTTTATTCAACTCGCAGAGTTGACCCTATCTTTTGATACAGCAGTTTTGAAACTCTCTTTTTGTAGAATCTGCAAGTGGATATTTGCAGCGCTTTGAGGCCTGCGGTGGAAAAGGAAATATCTTCACATAAAAACTACACAGAAGCATTCTCAGTAACTTCTTTGTAATGTGTGCATTCACCTCACAGACTTGAAACTTCCTCTTGATTGAGCAGCTTGGAAACACACTTTTAGTGAAATCTGCAAGTGGATATTTGGAGCACCTTGAGGCCTGTTGTGGAAAAGGAAATATCTTCACATAAAAACTACACAGAAGCATTCCAATAAACTTGTTTGTGATATGTACCTTCAACTGACAGATTTGAACCTTTCTTTTGATTAAATAGTTTTGAAAATCTCTTTTTGTAGAATCTGCAAGTGGATATTTGGAGTGCTTTGAGGCCTATGGTGGAAAAGGAAATATCTTTACATAAAAACTACACAGAAGCATTCTGAGAAACTACTTTGTGATGTGTGCATTCATATCACATAGTTGAACCTATCTTTTGATAGAGCACTTTTGAAACTCTCTTTTTGTAGAATCTGCAAGTGGATATTTGGAGCCCTTTGCAGCCTATGGTGGAAAAGGAAACATCTTCACATAAAAACTACACAGAAGCATTCTCAGAAACTACTTTGTGATGTGTGCGTTCAGCTCACAGACTTGAAACTTCCTCTTGATTGAGCAGTTTGGAAACACTCTTTAGTAAAATCTGCAAGTGGATATTCGGAGCACTTTGAGGCCTGTTGTGGAGAAGGAAATATCTTCACATAAAAACTACACAGACGCATTCCGAGAAACTTGTTTGTGATATGTGCATTCAACTGACAGAGTTGAACCTTTCTTTTGATTGACTAGTTTTGAAAATCTCTTTTTGTAGAATCTGCAAGTGGATATTTGGAGTGCTTTGAGGCCTATGGTGGAAAAGGAAATATCTTCATATGAAAACTACACAGAAGCATTCTGAGAAAATTCTTTGTGATGTGTGCATTCAAACCACAGACTTGAACTGATCTTTTGATAGAGCAGTTTTTAAAGTGTCTTTCTGTAGAATCTGCAAGTGGTTACTTGGAGACCTTTGTGGAAGATGGTGGAAAAGGAAATATCTTCCCGTAAAAACTACACAGATGCATTCTGAGAAACTTCTTTGTGATGTGTGCATTCATCTCACAGAGTTCAACCTATCTTTTCGTAGAGCAGTTTTGAAACTCTCTTTTCCTAGAATCTGTAAGTTGATATTTGGAGCCCTTTGCGGCCTATTGTGGAAAAGGAAATAACTTCACATGAAAACTACACAGAAGCTGAGAAACTTCTTTGTGATGTGTGCATTAATTTCCCAGAGTCGAACCTTTCTTTTGATTGAGCAGTTTTGAAACACTCTTTTTGTAGAATCTGCAAGTGGACATTTGAAGCACTTTGAGGCCTATTGTTGAAAAGGAAACATCTTCATATAAAAACAACAAGGAAGCATTCTGAGAAACCATTTTGTGCTGTGTGCATTCACCTCACAGAGTTCAACTTTATTTGATACAGCAGTTTTGAAACACTCTTCTTGTGGAATCTGCAAGTGGAAATTGGGAAATATTTAGGCATATGGTGGAAAAGGAAACATCCGCACATAAAAACTACACAGACACATTCTGTGAAACTTCTTTGTGCTGTGTGCATTCAAACCACAGAGTTGAACCTATCTTTTGAATGAGCACTTTTGAAACTCTCTTTTCATAGTATCTGCAAGTGGATATTTGGAGCCTTTTGTGGCCTACGGTGGGAAAGGAAATATCTTCATATAAAAACTACACAGAAGCATTCTGAGAAACTTCTCAGTGATGTGAGCATTCTTCTCACAGAGTTGAACTATCTTTTGATTGAGCAGTTTTGAAACACTGTTTTTTTTAGAATCTGCAAGTGAATATTTGGAGCCTTTTGGGTCTTATTGTGGAAAAGGAAATATCTTCACATAAAAACTACACAGAAGCATTCTGAGAAACTTCTTTGTCATGTGTGGATTCATCTCACAGAGTTAAATCTTTCTTTTGATTGAGCAGTTTGCAAACACTCTTTTTGTGGTATCTCCAGGAGGATATTTGGAGTGCTTTGAGGCCTATGTTGGAAAAGGAAGTATCTTCCCTTAAAAGCTATGCAGAAGCATTCTGAGAAACTTCCTTCTGATGTGTGCATTCATCTCACCTAGTTGAACCTTTCTTTTGGTTGTGCACTTTTGAAACACTCTTTTTGTGGAATCTGCAAGTGGATATCTGGATCACTTTGACGTCTATTGTGGAAAAGGAAATATCTTCACATAAAAACTACACAGAAGAATTCCGACATAGTTCTTTGTGATGTGTGCATTCAACTCACATAGTTGAAACCATCTCTTGATCGAGTAGTTTTGAACCTCTCTTGTTGTAGAATCTGAAAGTGGATATTTGTGTCCCCTGGCGGTCTATGGTGGAAAAGAAATATCTTCACAAAAATACTACACAGAAGCATTCTGAGAAACTTCTTTGTGATGTGTCCATTCATCTCACAGAGTTGAACCTTTCTTTTGATTGAGCAGTTTTGAAATACTCCTTTTGTAGAATCTGCAAGTGGATATTTTGAGTGCTTTGAGAACTATTGTGGAAAAGGAATTATCTTCTCATAAAACCTACACTGAAGGATTCTGAGAAATTTCTTGTGATGTGTGCATTCATCTCACAGAGTTGAACATTTCCTATGATTGAGCAGTTTGGAAATATTCTTTTCATAGAATCTGGAAGTGGATATTTGGAGCCCTTTGAGGCCTATTGTGGAAAAGGAAATATCTTCACATAAAAACTACAGAGAAGCATTCTGAGAAACTTCTTTGTGATGTGTGCATTCATCAAACAGAATTGAACATTTCTTTTTTTGTGCAGTTTTGAAACAATCTTCTTGTAGTATCTGCAAGTGGATATTTGGAGCGTTTTAAGACCTAAGGTGGGAAAGGAAATATCTTCACATAAAAATTACACAGAGAGATTCTGAGAAACTTCTTTGTGATGTGTGCATTCATCTCATATATTTGAACCTTTCTTTTCATTGTGCAGTTTCCAAGCAATCTTTTTCTAGAATATGTAAGTGGATATTTGGAGCACTTTGTGGACTATGGAGGGAAAAGAAATGTCTTCACATAAAAACTACACAGAAGCATTGGGAGAAAATTCTTGTGATATTTGTGTTCAACCCACAAAGTTGAACATATTGTTTGATAGAGCAGTTGTGAAACTCTCTTTTTGTAGAATCTGCAAGTGGGTATTTGGAGCCCTTTGTGGCCCATGGTAGAAAAGGAACTATCTTCACAGAAAAACTACCCAGAAGCATTTTGAGAAACTCCTTTGTGATTTGTGCACTCATCTCACGGTGTTGAAACTTTATTTTTATTGAGCAATTTTGAACATTCCTTTTTATAGAATCTACAAGTGGATATTTGGAGTGGTTTGAGACCTATGGTAGAAAAAGAACTATCTTCACCGAAAAACCACACAGAAGCATTTTGAGAAGCTTCTTTTTGATGTATGCATTCAACTCACAGAGACGAACTGATCTTTTGATAGAGCAGTTTTGAAACTCACTTTTGTAGAATCTGCAGGTGGATATTTGGAGTACATTGCGGCCTATGGTGAAAAAGGAACTATCTTCGCATGAGAACCAGGCAGAAACATTCTGAGAAACTAGTTTGTGATGTGTGCATTCATCTCACAGAGTTGAAATCATTTTTTGATTTGAGTAGTTTGGAAACACTCTTTTTGTGGAATCTCTAAGGGCATATTTGAAGCGTTTTGCACGCTGTTGTGGAAAAGGAAATATCTTCACATAAAAACTACACAGAAGCATTCTGAGAAACTACTTTGTGATGTGGGCATTCATGTCACGGTTTTGAACCTTCCATTTGATTGAGCAGTTTTGAAATACTCGTTTGGTAGAATGTACAAGTGAATATTTGGAGCACTTTGAGGCCTATGATAGAAACGGAAATATGTTTACATAAAAACTACACAGAAGCATGCTGAGAAACCTCTTTGTGATGTGTGTATTCACCTCCGGGAGTTCAACCTATCATTTGACAGAGCGGTTTTGAAACTCTTTTTGTAGAATCTCCAAGTGGATATTTGGAGCCCTTTGCATTCTACTGTGAAAAGGAAATATCTTCACATAAAAACTACACAGACGCATTCTGAGAAACTTCTTTGTGATGTTTGCTTTCAACTCACAGAATTGAACCTTTTGTTTGAGTAGTTTTGAAACTCTCTTTTTGTAGAATCTAGAAGTGGATATTTAGAACGCTTGGAGGCCTATGGTGCAAAAACGAATAACTTCACACAAAAAATACACAGAAGCATTCTGAGAAACTTCTTTACGATGTCTGCATTCACCTCACAGATTTGAATGTCTCTTTTGATTGAGCAGTTTGGAAGCACTCTTTCGGTAGAATCTGCAAGTGGATATGGAGAGAGCTTTGAGGCCTGTTGTGGAAAACTAAATGTCTTCATATAAAAGCTACACAGAAGCATTCTGAGAAACTCCTTTGTTATGTGTGCATTCATCTCACAGAGTTGAACCTTTCTTTTGATTCGGCAGTTTTGAAACACGGTTTCTGTAGAATCTTCAAGTGGATATTTGGAGCACTTTTCTGCCTATTGTGTAAAAGGAAATATCTTTACGTAAGAACTACACAGAAGCATTCTGAGAAACTTCTTTGTGATGTTCTTAACTCACAGCGTTAAACTTACCTTTGGTAGAGCAGTTTTGAAACTCTCTTTTTGTGGAAAATGTAAGTGGGTATTTAGAGCCATTTGTGGCCTATGGTGGAAAGGAAAATATCTTCACATAAAAACTACACAGAAGCATTCTGAGAAACTACCTTTTGATGTGTGTATTTGTCTCAGACTGGAACCTTCCTTTTGATTGAGCAGTTCTGAAACACTCTTTTTGTAGAATCTGGAAGTGCATATTTGGAGTGCTTTGAGGCCTATGGTGGAAAAAGAAATATCTTCATTTAAAAACTACACAGAAGCATTCTGAGAAACTTCTTTGTGATGTGTGTGTGTATTCATACCACAGAGTCGAAACTATCGTTTGAGAGAGCATTTCGAAACTTTCTTTTTGTAGGATCTGCAAGTGGATATTTGGAGGGCTTTCAGGCCTATGGTGGAAAAGGAAATATCTTCACATAAACACTACTCAGAAGCATTCTGAGAAACTTCTTCACGATGGTTGCACTAAACTCTCAGAGTTGAACTTATCTTTTGATAGAGCAGTTTTGAAACTCTGTGTTACTAGAATCTGCATGTGGTTATTTGGAGTCCTTTGTGGCCGATGGTGGAAAAGGAAATATCTTCCCCTAAAAAGTACACAGAAGCATTCTGAGAAACTTTTTTGACATGTGTGCACTAATCTCACAGAGTTTAATCTATCATTTGATTGAGCAGTTTTAAAAAACTTTTTTTGTGGAATCTGCAATTGGATATTTGGAACGCTTTGAGGCCTATTGTGGAAAAGGCAATATCTTCACATAAAAACTACACAGAAACATTCCGAGAAACTTCTCTGTGATGTGTGCACTCATCTCACGGAGTTGAACCTTTCTTTGATTGACAAGTTTTGAAAGACTATGTTTCTATAATGTGCAAGTGGATATTTGGAGTGCTTTGAGGCATATGGTGGAAAAGGAAATATATTCACATAAAACTATACAGAAGCGTTCCCAGAAACTTATTTGTGATGTGTTTATTCAACTCGCAGAGTTGACCCTATCTTTTGATACAGCAGTTTTGAAACTCTCTTTTTGTAGAATCTGCAAGTGGATATTTGCAGCGCTTTGAGGCCTGCGGTGGAAAAGGAAATATCTTCACATAAAAACTACACAGAAGCATTCTCAGTAACTTCTTTGTAATGTGTGCATTCACCTCACAGACTTGAAACTTCCTCTTGATTGAGCAGCTTGGAAACACACTTTTAGTGAAATCTGCAAGTGGATATTTGGAGCACCTTGAGGCCTGTTGTGGAAAAGGAAATATCTTCACATAAAAACTACACAGAAGCATTCCAATAAACTTGTTTGTGATATGTACCTTCAACTGACAGATTTGAACCTTTCTTTTGATTAAATAGTTTTGAAAATCTCTTTTTGTAGAATCTGCAAGTGGATATTTGGAGTGCTTTGAGGCCTATGGTGGAAAAGGAAATATCTTTACATAAAAACTACACAGAAGCATTCTGAGAAACTACTTTGTGATGTGTGCATTCATATCACATAGTTGAACCTATCTTTTGATAGAGCACTTTTGAAACTCTCTTTTTGTAGAATCTGCAAGTGGATATTTGGAGCCCTTTGCAGCCTATGGTGGAAAAGGAAACATCTTCACATAAAAACTACACAGAAGCATTCTCAGAAACTACTTTGTGATGTGTGCGTTCAGCTCACAGACTTGAAACTTCCTCTTGATTGAGCAGTTTGGAAACACTCTTTAGTAAAATCTGCAAGTGGATATTCGGAGCACTTTGAGGCCTGTTGTGGAGAAGGAAATATCTTCACATAAAAACTACACAGACGCATTCCGAGAAACTTGTTTGTGATATGTGCATTCAACTGACAGAGTTGAACCTTTCTTTTGATTGACTAGTTTTGAAAATCTCTTTTTGTAGAATCTGCAAGTGGATATTTGGAGTGCTTTGAGGCCTATGGTGGAAAAGGAAATATCTTCATATGAAAACTACACAGAAGCATTCTGAGAAAATTCTTTGTGATGTGTGCATTCAAACCACAGACTTGAACTGATCTTTTGATAGAGCAGTTTTTAAAGTGTCTTTCTGTAGAATCTGCAAGTGGTTACTTGGAGACCTTTGTGGAAGATGGTGGAAAAGGAAATGTCTTCCCGTAAAAACTACACAGATGCATTCTGAGAAACTTCTTTGTGATGTGTGCATTCATCTCACAGAGTTCAACCTATCTTTTCGTAGAGCAGTTTTGAAACTCTCTTTTCCTAGAATCTGTAAGTTGATATTTGGAGCCCTTTGCGGCCTATTGTGGAAAAGGAAATAACTTCACATGAAAACTACACAGAAGCTGAGAAACTTCTTTGTGATGTGTGCATTAATTTCCCAGAGTCGAACCTTTCTTTTGATTGAGCAGTTTTGAAACACTCTTTTTGTAGAATCTGCAAGTGGACATTTGAAGCACTTTGAGGCCTATTGTTGAAAAGGAAACATCTTCATATAAAAACAAGGAAGCATTCTGAGAAACCATTTTGTGCTGTGTGCATTCACCTCACAGAGTTCAACTTTATTTGATACAGCAGTTTTGAAACACTCTTCTTGTAGAATCTGCAAGTGGAAATTGGGAAATATTTAGGCATATGGTGGAAAAGGAAACATCCGCACATAAAAACTACACAGACACATTCTGTGAAACTTCTTTGTGCTGTGTGCATTCAAACCACAGAGTTGAACCTATCTTTTGAATGAGCAGTTTTGAAACTCTCTTTTCATAGTATCTGCAAGTGGATATTTGGAGCCTTTTGTGGCCTACGGTGGGAAAGGAAATATCTTCATATAAAAACTACACAGAAGCATTCTGAGAAACTTCTCAGTGATGTGAGCATTCTTCTCACAGAGTTGAACTATCTTTTGATTGAGCAGTTTTGAAACACTGTTTTTTTTAGAATCTGCAAGTGAATATTTGGAGCCTTTTGGGTCTTATTGTGGAAAAGGAAATATCTTCACATAAAAACTACACAGAAGCATTCTGAGAAACTTCTTTGTCATGTGTGGATTCATCTCACAGAGTTAAATCTTTCTTTTGATTGAGCAGTTTGCAAACACTCTTTTTGTGGTATCTCCAGGAGGATATTTGGAGTGCTTTGAGGCCTATGTTGGAAAAGGAAGTATCTTCCCTTAAAAGCTATGCAGAAGCATTCTGAGAAACTTCCTTCTGATGTGTGCATTCATCTCACCTAGTTGAACCTTTCTTTTGGTTGTGCACTTTTGAAACACTCTTTTTGTGGAATCTGCAAGTGGATATCTGGATCACTTTGACGTCTATTGTGGAAAAGGAAATATCTTCACATAAAAACTACACAGAAGAATTCCGACATAGTTCTTTGTGATGTGTGCATTCAACTCACATAGTTGAAACCATCTCTTGATCGAGTAGTTTTGAACCTCTCTTGTTGTAGAATCTGAAAGTGGATATTTGTGTCCCCTGGCGGTCTATGGTGGAAAAGAAATATCTTCACAAAAATACTACACAGAAGCATTCTGAGAAACTTCTTTGTGATGTGTCCATTCATCCCACAGAGTTGAACCTTTCTTTTGATTGAGCAGTTTTGAAATACTCCTTTTGTAGAATCTGCAAGTGGATATTTTGAGTGCTTTGAGAACTATTGTGGAAAAGGAATTATCTTCTCATAAAACCTACACTGAAGGATTCTGAGAAATTTCTTGTGATGTGTGCATTCATCTCACAGAGTTGAACATTTCCTATGATTGAGCAGTTTGGAAATATTCTTTTCATAGAATCTGGAAGTGGATATTTGGAGCCCTTTGAGGCCTATTGTGGAAAAGGAAATATCTTCACATAAAAACTACAGAGAAGCATTCTGAGAAACTTCTTTGTGATGTGTGCATTCATCAAACAGAATTGAACATTTCTTTTTTTGTGCAGTTTTGAAACAATCTTCTTGTAGTATCTGCAAGTGGATATTTGGAGCGTTTTAAGACCTAAGGTGGGAAAGGAAATATCTTCACATAAAAATTACACAGAGAGATTCTGAGAAACTTCTTTGTGATGTGTGCATTCATCTCATATATTTGAACCTTTCTTTTCATTGTGCAGTTTCCAAGCAATCTTTTTCTAGAATATGTAAGTGGATATTTGGAGCACTTTGTGGACTATGGAGGGAAAAGAAATGTCTTCACATAAAAACTACACAGAAGCATTGGGAGAAAATTCTTGTGATATTTGTGTTCAACCCACAAAGTTGAACATATTGTTTGATAGAGCAGTTGTGAAACTCTCTTTTTGTAGAATCTGCAAGTGGGTATTTGGAGCCCTTTGTGGCCCATGGTAGAAAAGGAACTATCTTCACAGAAAAACTACCCAGAAGCATTTTGAGAAACTTCTTTGTGATTTGTGCACTCATCTCACGGTGTTGAAACTTTATTTTTATTGAGCAATTTTGAACATTCCTTTTTATAGAATCTACAAGTGGATATTTGGAGTGGTTTGAGACCTATGGTAGAAAAAGAACTATCTTCACCGAAAAACCACACAGAAGCATTTTGAGAAGCTTCTTTTTGATGTATGCATTCAACTCACAGAGACGAACTGATCTTTTGATAGAGCAGTTTTGAAACTCACTTTTGTAGAATCTGCAGGTGGATATTTGGAGTACATTGCGGCCTATGGTGAAAAAGGAACTATCTTCGCATGAGAACCAGGCAGAAACATTCTGAGAAACTAGTTTGTGATGTGTGCATTCATCTCACAGAGTTGAAATCATTTTTTGATTTGAGTAGTTTGGAAACACTCTTTTTGTGGAATCTCTAAGGGCATATTTGAAGCGTTTTGCACGCTGTTGTGGAAAAGGAAATATCTTCACATAAAAACTACACAGAAGCATTCTGAGAAACTACTTTGTGATGTGGGCATTCATGTCACGGTTTTGAACCTTCCGTTTGATTGAGCAGTTTTGAAATACTCGTTTGGTAGAATGTACAAGTGAATATTTGGAGCACTTTGAGGCCTATGATAGAAACGGAAATATGTTTACATAAAAACTACACAGAAGCATGCTGAGAAACCTCTTTGTGATGTGTGTATTCACCTCCGGGAGTTCAACCTATCATTTGACAGAGCGGTTTTGAAACTCTTTTTGTAGAATCTCCAAGTGGATATTTGGAGCCCTTTGCATTCTACTGTGAAAAGGAAATATCTTCACATCAAAACTACACAGACGCATTCTGAGAAACTTCTTTGTGATGTTTGCTTTCAACTCACAGAATTGAACCTTTTGTTTGAGTAGTTTTGAAACTCTCTTTTTGTAGAATCTAGAAGTGGATATTTAGAACGCTTGGAGGCCTATGGTGCAAAAACGAATAACTTCACACAAAAAATACACAGAAGCATTCTGAGAAACTTCTTTACGATGTCTGCATTCACCTCACAGATTTGAATGTCTCTTTTGATTGAGCAGTTTGGAAGCACTCTTTCGGTAGAATCTGCAAGTGGATATGGAGAGAGCTTTGAGGCCTGTTGTGGAAAACTAAATGTCTTCATATAAAAGCTACACAGAAGCATTCTGAGAAACTCCTTTGTTATGTGTGCATTCATCTCACAGAGTTGAACCTTTCTTTTGATTCGGCAGTTTTGAAACACGGTTTTTGTAGAATCTTCAAGTGGATATTTGGAGCACTTTTCTGCCTATTGTGTAAAAGGAAATATCTTTACGTAAGAACTACACAGAAGCATTCTGAGAAACTTCTTTGTGATGTTCTTAACTCACAGCGTTAAACTTACCTTTGGTAGAGCAGTTTTGAAACTCTCTTTTTGTGGAAAATGTAAGTGGGTATTTAGAGCCATTTGTGGCCTATGGTGGAAAGGAAAATATCTTCACATAAAAACTACACAGAAGCATTCTGAGAAACTACCTTTTGATGTGTGTATTTGTCTCAGACTGGAACCTTCCTTTTGATTGAGCAGTTCTGAAACACTCTTTTTGTAGAATCTGGAAGTGCATATTTGGAGTGCTTTGAGGCCTATGGTGGAAAAAGAAATATCTTCATTTAAAAACTACACAGAAGCATTCTGAGAAACTTCTTTGTGATGTGTGTATTCATACCACAGAGTCGAAACTATCGTTTGAGAGAGCATTTCGAAACTTTCTTTTTGTAGGATCTGCAAGTGGATATTTGGAGGGCTTTCAGGCCTATGGTGGAAAAGGAAATATCTTCACATAAACACTACTCAGAAGCATTCTGAGAAACTTCTTCACGATGGTTGCACTAAACTCTCAGAGTTGAACTTATCTTTTGATAGAGCAGTTTTGAAACTCTGTGTTACTAGAATCTGCATGTGGTTATTTGGAGTCCTTTGTGGCCGATGGTGGAAAAGGAAATATCTTCCCCTAAAAAGTACACAGAAGCATTCTGAGAAACTTTTTTGACATGTGTGCACTAATCTCACAGAGTTTAATCTATCATTTGATTGAGCAGTTTTAAAAAACTTTTTTTGTGGAATCTGCAATTGGATATTTGGAACGCTTTGAGGCCTATTGTGGAAAAGGCAATATCTTCACATAAAAACTACACAGAAACATTCCGAGAAACTTCTCTGTGATGTGTGCACTCATCTCACGGAGTTGAACCTTTCTTTGATTGACAAGTTTTGAAAGACTATGTTTCTATAATGTGCAAGTGGATATTTGGAGTGCTTTGAGGCATATGGTGGAAAAGGAAATATATTCACATAAAACTATACAGAAGCGTTCCCAGAAACTTATTTGTGATGTGCTTATTCAACTCGCAGAGTTGACCCTATCTTTTGATACAGCAGTTTTGAAACTCTCTTTTTGTAGAATCTGCAAGTGGATATTTGCAGCGCTTTGAGGCCTGCGGTGGAAAAGGAAATATCTTCACATAAAAACTACACAGAAGCATTCTCAGTAACTTCTTTGTAATGTGTGCATTCACCTCACAGACTTGAAACTTCCTCTTGATTGAGCAGCTTGGAAACACACTTTTAGTGAAATCTGCAAGTGGATATTTGGAGCACCTTGAGGCCTGTTGTGGAAAAGGAAATATCTTCACATAAAAACTACACAGAAGCATTCCAATAAACTTGTTTGTGATATGTACCTTCAACTGACAGATTTGAACCTTTCTTTTGATTAAATAGTTTTGAAAATCTCTTTTTGTAGAATCTGCAAGTGGATATTTGGAGTGCTTTGAGGCCTATGGTGGAAAAGGAAATATCTTTACATAAAAACTACACAGAAGCATTCTGAGAAACTACTTTGTGATGTGTGCATTCATATCACATAGTTGAACCTATCTTTTGATAGAGCACTTTTGAAACTCTCTTTTTGTAGAATCTGCAAGTGGATATTTGGAGCCCTTTGCAGCCTATGGTGGAAAAGAAAACATCTTCACATAAAAACTACACAGAAGCATTCTCAGAAACTACTTTGTGATGTGTGCGTTCAGCTCACAGACTTGAAACTTCCTCTTGATTGAGCAGTTTGGAAACACTCTTTAGTAAAATCTGCAAGTGGATATTCGGAGCACTTTGAGGCCTGTTGTGGAGAAGGAAATATCTTCACATAAAAACTACACAGACGCATTCCGAGAAACTTGTTTGTGATATGTGCATTCAACTGACAGAGTTGAACCTTTCTTTTGATTGACTAGTTTGGAAAATCTCTTTTTGTAGAATCTGCAAGTGGATATTTGGAGTGCTTTGAGGCCTATGGTGGAAAAGGAAATATCTTTACATAAAAACTACACGGAAAGCATTCTGAGAAACTACTTTGTGATGTGTGCATTCATATCACATAGTTGAACCTATCTTTTGATAGAGCACTTTTGAAACTCTCTTTTTGTAGAATCTGCAAGTGGATATTTGGAGCCCTTTGCAGCCTATGGTGGAAAAGGAAACATCTTCACATAAAAACTACACAGAAGCATTCCCAGAAACTTTCTGTGATGTGTGCATTCATCTCACAGTGTTGAAACATTCTTTTAACTGAGCATTTTTGAAAAATTCTGTTTTTATAATTTACAAGTGAATATTTGGAGCACTTTGAAGCCTATGGTGGAAAAGGAAATATTTCACATAAAAACTACACAGAACACATTCTGTGAAACTTCTTTGTGCTGTGTGCATTCAAACCACAGTAGTTGAACCTATCTTTTGAATGAGCAGTTTTGAAACTCTCTTTTCATAGTATCTGCAAGTGGATATTTGGAGCCTTTTGTGGCCTACGGTGGGAAAGGAAATATCTTCATATAAAAACTACACAGAAGCATTCTGAGAAACTTCTCAGTGATGTGAGCATTCTTCTCACAGAGTTGAACTATCTTTTGATTGAGCAGTTTTGAAACACTGTTTTTTTTAGAATCTGCAAGTGAATATTTGGAGCCTTTTGGGTCTTATTGTGGAAAAGGAAATATCTTCACATAAAAACTACACAGAAGCATTCTGAGAAACTTCTTTGTCATGTGTGGATTCATCTCACAGAGTTAAATCTTTCTTTTGATTGAGCAGTTTGCAAACACTCTTTTTGTGGTATCTCCAGGAGGATATTTGGAGTGCTTTGAGGCCTATGTTGGAAAAGGAAGTATCTTCCCTTAAAAGCTATGCAGAAGCATTCTGAGAAACTTCCTTCTGATGTGTGCATTCATCTCACCTAGTTGAACCTTTCTTTTGGTTGTGCACTTTTGAAACACTCTTTTTGTGGAATCTGCAAGTGGATATCTGGATCACTTTGACGTCTATTGTGGAAAAGGAAATATCTTCACATAAAAACTACACAGAAGAATTCCGACATAGTTCTTTGTGATGTGTGCATTCAACTCACATAGTTGAAACCATCTCTTGATCGAGTAGTTTTGAACCTCTCTTGTTGTAGAATCTGAAAGTGGATATTTGTGTCCCCTGGCGGTCTATGGTGGAAAAGAAATATCTTCACAAAAATACTACACAGAAGCATTCTGAGAAACTTCTTTGTGATGTGTCCATTCATCTCACAGAGTTGAACCTTTCTTTTGATTGAGCAGTTTTGAAATACTCCTTTTGTAGAATCTGCAAGTGGATATTTTGAGTGCTTTGAGAACTATTGTGGAAAAGGAATTATCTTCTCATAAAACCTACACTGAAGGATTCTGAGAAATTTCTTGTGATGTGTGCATTCATCTCACAGAGTTGAACATTTCCTATGATTGAGCAGTTTGGAAATATTCTTTTCATAGAATCTGGAAGTGGATATTTGGAGCCCTTTGAGGCCTATTGTGGAAAAGGAAATATCTTCACATAAAAACTACAGAGAAGCATTCTGAGAAACTTCTTTGTGATGTGTGCATTCATCAAACAGAATTGAACATTTCTTTTTTTGTGCAGTTTTGAAACAATCTTCTTGTAGTATCTGCAAGTGGATATTTGGAGCGTTTTAAGACCTAAGGTGGGAAAGGAAATATCTTCACATAAAAATTACACAGAGAGATTCTGAGAAACTTCTTTGTGATGTGTGCATTCATCTCATATATTTGAACCTTTCTTTTCATTGTGCAGTTTCCAAGCAATCTTTTTCTAGAATATGTAAGTGGATATTTGGAGCACTTTGTGGACTATGGAGGGAAAAGAAATGTCTTCACATAAAAACTACACAGAAGCATTGGGAGAAAATTCTTGTGATATTTGTGTTCAACCCACAAAGTTGAACATATTGTTTGATAGAGCAGTTGTGAAACTCTCTTTTTGTAGAATCTGCAAGTGGGTATTTGGAGCCCTTTGTGGCCCATGGTAGAAAAGGAACTATCTTCACAGAAAAACTACCCAGAAGCATTTTGAGAAACTCCTTTGTGATTTGTGCACTCATCTCACGGTGTTGAAACTTTATTTTTATTGAGCAATTTTGAACATTCCTTTTTATAGAATCTACAAGTGGATATTTGGAGTGGTTTGAGACCTATGGTAGAAAAAGAACTATCTTCACCGAAAAACCACACAGAAGCATTTTGAGAAGCTTCTTTTTGATGTATGCATTCAACTCACAGAGACGAACTGATCTTTTGATAGAGCAGTTTTGAAACTCACTTTTGTAGAATCTGCAGGTGGATATTTGGAGTACATTGCGGCCTATGGTGAAAAAGGAACTATCTTCGCATGAGAACCAGGCAGAAACATTCTGAGAAACTAGTTTGTGATGTGTGCATTCATCTCACAGAGTTGAAATCATTTTTTGATTTGAGTAGTTTGGAAACACTCTTTTTGTGGAATCTCTAAGGGCATATTTGAAGCGTTTTGCACGCTGTTGTGGAAAAGGAAATATCTTCACATAAAAACTACACAGAAGCATTCTGAGAAACTACTTTGTGATGTGGGCATTCATGTCACGGTTTTGAACCTTCCATTTGATTGAGCAGTTTTGAAATACTCGTTTGGTAGAATGTACAAGTGAATATTTGGAGCACTTGAGGCCTATGATAGAAACGGAAATATGTTTACATAAAAACTACACAGAAGCATGCTGAGAAACCTCTTTGTGATGTGTGTATTCACCTCCGGGAGTTCAACCTATCATTTGACAGAGCGGTTTTGAAACTCTTTTTGTAGAATCTCCAAGTGGATATTTGGAGCCCTTTGCATTCTACTGTGAAAAGGAAATATCTTCACATCAAAACTACACAGACGCATTCTGAGAAACTTCTTTGTGATGTTTGCTTTCAACTCACAGAATTGAACCTTTTGTTTGAGTAGTTTTGAAACTCTCTTTTTGTAGAATCTAGAAGTGGATATTTAGAACGCTTGGAGGCCTATGGTGCAAAAACGAATAACTTCACACAAAAAATACACAGAAGCATTCTGAGAAACTTCTTTACGATGTCTGCATTCACCTCACAGATTTGAATGTCTCTTTTGATTGAGCAGTTTGGAAGCACTCTTTCGGTAGAATCTGCAAGTGGATATGGAGAGAGCTTTGAGGCCTGTTGTGGAAAACTAAATGTCTTCATATAAAAGCTACACAGAAGCATTCTGAGAAACTCCTTTGTTATGTGTGCATTCATCTCACAGAGTTGAACCTTTCTTTTGATTCGGCAGTTTTGAAACACGGTTTCTGTAGAATCTTCAAGTGGATATTTGGAGCACTTTTCTGCCTATTGTGTAAAAGGAATATCTTTACGTAAGAACTACACAGAAGCATTCTGAGAAACTTCTTTGTGATGTTCTTAACTCACAGCGTTAAACTTACCTTTGGTAGAGCAGTTTTGAAACTCTCTTTTTGTGGAAAATGTAAGTGGGTATTTAGAGCCATTTGTGGCCTATGGTGGAAAGGAAAATATCTTCACATAAAAACTACACAGAAGCATTCTGAGAAACTACCTTTTGATGTGTGTATTTGTCTCAGACTGGAACCTTCCTTTTGATTGAGCAGTTCTGAAACACTCTTTTTGTAGAATCTGGAAGTGCATATTTGGAGTGCTTTGAGGCCTATGGTGGAAAAAGAAATATCTTCATTTAAAAACTACACAGAAGCATTCTGAGAAACTTCTTTGTGATGTGTGTGTGTATTCATACCACAGAGTCGAAACTATCGTTTGAGAGAGCATTTCGAAACTTTCTTTTTGTAGGATCTGCAAGTGGATATTTGGAGGGCTTTCAGGCCTATGGTGGAAAAGGAAATATCTTCACATAAACACTACTCAGAAGCATTCTGAGAAACTTCTTCACGATGGTTGCACTAAACTCTCAGAGTTGAACTTATCTTTTGATAGAGCAGTTTTGAAACTCTGTGTTACTAGAATCTGCATGTGGTTATTTGGAGTCCTTTGTGGCCGATGGTGGAAAAGGAAATATCTTCCCCTAAAAAGTACACAGAAGCATTCTGAGAAACTTTTTTGACATGTGTGCACTAATCTCACAGAGTTTAATCTATCATTTGATTGAGCAGTTTTAAAAAACTTTTTTTGTGGAATCTGCAATTGGATATTTGGAACGCTTTGAGGCCTATTGTGGAAAAGGCAATATCTTCACATAAAAACTACACAGAAACATTCCGAGAAACTTCTCTGTGATGTGTGCACTCATCTCACGGAGTTGAACCTTTCTTTGATTGACAAGTTTTGAAAGACTATGTTTCTATAATGTGCAAGTGGATATTTGGAGTGCTTTGAGGCATATGGTGGAAAAGGAAATATATTCACATAAAACTATACAGAAGCGTTCCCAGAAACTTATTTGTGATGTGCTTATTCAACTCGCAGAGTTGACCCTATCTTTTGATACAGCAGTTTTGAAACTCTCTTTTTGTAGAATCTGCAAGTGGATATTTGCAGCGCTTTGAGGCCTGCGGTGGAAAAGGAAATATCTTCACATAAAAACTACACAGAAGCATTCTCAGTAACTTCTTTGTAATGTGTGCATTCACCTCACAGACTTGAAACTTCCTCTTGATTGAGCAGCTTGGAAACACACTTTTAGTGAAATCTGCAAGTGGATATTTGGAGCACCTTGAGGCCTGTTGTGGAAAAGGAAATATCTTCACATAAAAACTACACAGAAGCATTCCAATAAACTTGTTTGTGATATGTACCTTCAACTGACAGATTTGAACCTTTCTTTTGATTAAATAGTTTTGAAAATCTCTTTTTGTAGAATCTGCAAGTGGATATTTGGAGTGCTTTGAGGCCTATGGTGGAAAAGGAAATATCTTTACATAAAAACTACACAGAAGCATTCTGAGAAACTACTTTGTGATGTGTGCATTCATATCACATAGTTGAACCTATCTTTTGATAGAGCACTTTTGAAACTCTCTTTTTGTAGAATCTGCAAGTGGATATTTGGAGCCCTTTGCAGCCTATGGTGGAAAAGAAAACATCTTCACATAAAAACTACACAGAAGCATTCTCAGAAACTACTTTGTGATGTGTGCGTTCAGCTCACAGACTTGAAACTTCCTCTTGATTGAGCAGTTTGGAAACACTCTTTAGTAAAATCTGCAAGTGGATATTCGGAGCACTTTGAGGCCTGTTGTGGAGAAGGAAATATCTTCACATAAAAACTACACAGACGCATTCCGAGAAACTTGTTTGTGATATGTGCATTCAACTGACAGAGTTGAACCTTTCTTTTGATTGACTAGTTTTGAAAATCTCTTTTTGTAGAATCTGCAAGTGGATATTTGGAGTGCTTTGAGGCCTATGGTGGAAAAGGAAATATCTTCATATGAAAACTACACAGAAGCATTCTGAGAAAATTCTTTGTGATGTGTGCATTCAAACCACAGACTTGAACTGATCTTTTGATAGAGCAGTTTTTAAAGTGTCTTTCTGTAGAATCTGCAAGTGGTTACTTGGAGACCTTTGTGGAAGATGGTGGAAAAGGAAATGTCTTCCCGTAAAAACTACACAGATGCATTCTGAGAAACTTCTTTGTGATGTGTGCATTCATCTCACAGAGTTCAACCTATCTTTTCGTAGAGCAGTTTTGAAACTCTCTTTTCCTAGAATCTGTAAGTTGATATTTGGAGCCCTTTGCGGCCTATTGTGGAAAAGGAAATAACTTCACATGAAAACTACACAGAAGCTGAGAAACTTCTTTGTGATGTGTGCATTAATTTCCCAGAGTCGAACCTTTCTTTTGATTGAGCAGTTTTGAAACACTCTTTTTGTAGAATCTGCAAGTGGACATTTGAAGCACTTTGAGGCCTATTGTTGAAAAGGAAACATCTTCATATAAAAACAACAAGGAAAGCATTCTGAGAAACCATTTTGTGCTGTGTGCATTCACCTCACAGAGTTCAACTTTATTTGATACAGCAGTTTTGAAACACTCTTCTTGTGGAATCTGCAAGTGGAAATTGGGAAATATTTAGGCATATGGTGGAAAAGGAAACATCCGCACATAAAAACTACACAGACACATTCTGTGAAACTTCTTTGTGCTGTGTGCATTCAAACCACAGAGTTGAACCTATCTTTTGAATGAGCAGTTTTGAAACTCTCTTTTCATAGTATCTGCAAGTGGATATTTGGAGCCTTTTGTGGCCTACGGTGGGAAAGGAAATATCTTCATATAAAAACTACACAGAAGCATTCTGAGAAACTTCTCAGTGATGTGAGCATTCTTCTCACAGAGTTGAACTATCTTTTGATTGAGCAGTTTTGAAACACTGTTTTTTTTAGAATCTGCAAGTGAATATTTGGAGCCTTTTGGGTCTTATTGTGGAAAAGGAAATATCTTCACATAAAAACTACACAGAAGCATTCTGAGAAACTTCTTTGTCATGTGTGGATTCATCTCACAGAGTTAAATCTTTCTTTTGATTGAGCAGTTTGCAAACACTCTTTTTGTGGTATCTCCAGGAGGATATTTGGAGTGCTTTGAGGCCTATGTTGGAAAAGGAAGTATCTTCCCTTAAAAGCTATGCAGAAGCATTCTGAGAAACTTCCTTCTGATGTGTGCATTCATCTCACCTAGTTGAACCTTTCTTTTGGTTGTGCACTTTTGAAACACTCTTTTTGTGGAATCTGCAAGTGGATATCTGGATCACTTTGACGTCTATTGTGGAAAAGGAAATATCTTCACATAAAAACTACACAGAAGAATTCCGACATAGTTCTTTGTGATGTGTGCATTCAACTCACATAGTTGAAACCATCTCTTGATCGAGTAGTTTTGAACCTCTCTTGTTGTAGAATCTGAAAGTGGATATTTGTGTCCCCTGGCGGTCTATGGTGGAAAAGAAATATCTTCACAAAAATACTACACAGAAGCATTCTGAGAAACTTCTTTGTGATGTGTCCATTCATCTCACAGAGTTGAACCTTTCTTTTGATTGAGCAGTTTTGAAATACTCCTTTTGTAGAATCTGCAAGTGGATATTTTGAGTGCTTTGAGAACTATTGTGGAAAAGGAATTATCTTCTCATAAAACCTACACTGAAGGATTCTGAGAAATTTCTTGTGATGTGTGCATTCATCTCACAGAGTTGAACATTTCCTATGATTGAGCAGTTTGGAAATATTCTTTTCATAGAATCTGGAAGTGGATATTTGGAGCCCTTTGAGGCCTATTGTGGAAAAGGAAATATCTTCACATAAAAACTACAGAGAAGCATTCTGAGAAACTTCTTTGTGATGTGTGCATTCATCAAACAGAATTGAACATTTCTTTTTTTGTGCAGTTTTGAAACAATCTTCTTGTAGTATCTGCAAGTGGATATTTGGAGCGTTTTAAGACCTAAGGTGGGAAAGGAAATATCTTCACATAAAAATTACACAGAGAGATTCTGAGAAACTTCTTTGTGATGTGTGCATTCATCTCATATATTTGAACCTTTCTTTTCATTGTGCAGTTTCCAAGCAATCTTTTTCTAGAATATGTAAGTGGATATTTGGAGCACTTTGTGGACTATGGAGGGAAAAGAAATGTCTTCACATAAAAACTACACAGAAGCATTGGGAGAAAATTCTTGTGATATTTGTGTTCAACCCACAAAGTTGAACATATTGTTTGATAGAGCAGTTGTGAAACTCTCTTTTTGTAGAATCTGCAAGTGGGTATTTGGAGCCCTTTGTGGCCCATGGTAGAAAAGGAACTATCTTCACAGAAAAACTACCCAGAAGCATTTTGAGAAACTTCTTTGTGATTTGTGCACTCATCTCACGGTGTTGAAACTTTATTTTTATTGAGCAATTTTGAACATTCCTTTTTATAGAATCTACAAGTGGATATTTGGAGTGGTTTGAGACCTATGGTAGAAAAAGAACTATCTTCACCGAAAAACCACACAGAAGCATTTTGAGAAGCTTCTTTTTGATGTATGCATTCAACTCACAGAGACGAACTGATCTTTTGATAGAGCAGTTTTGAAACTCACTTTTGTAGAATCTGCAGGTGGATATTTGGAGTACATTGCGGCCTATGGTGAAAAAGGAACTATCTTCGCATGAGAACCAGGCAGAAACATTCTGAGAAACTAGTTTGTGATGTGTGCATTCATCTCACAGAGTTGAAATCATTTTTTGATTTGAGTAGTTTGGAAACACTCTTTTTGTGGAATCTCTAAGGGCATATTTGAAGCGTTTTGCACGCTGTTGTGGAAAAGGAAATATCTTCACATAAAAACTACACAGAAGCATTCTGAGAAACTACTTTGTGATGTGGGCATTCATGTCACGGTTTTGAACCTTCCATTTGATTGAGCAGTTTTGAAATACTCGTTTGGTAGAATGTACAAGTGAATATTTGGAGCACTTTGAGGCCTATGATAGAAACGGAAATATGTTTACATAAAAACTACACAGAAGCATGCTGAGAAACCTCTTTGTGATGTGTGTATTCACCTCCGGGAGTTCAACCTATCATTTGACAGAGCGGTTTTGAAACTCTTTTTGTAGAATCTCCAAGTGGATATTTGGAGCCCTTTGCATTCTACTGTGAAAAGGAAATATCTTCACATCAAAACTACACAGACGCATTCTGAGAAACTTCTTTGTGATGTTTGCTTTCAACTCACAGAATTGAACCTTTTGTTTGAGTAGTTTTGAAACTCTCTTTTTGTAGAATCTAGAAGTGGATATTTAGAACGCTTGGAGGCCTATGGTGCAAAAACGAATAACTTCACACAAAAAATACACAGAAGCATTCTGAGAAACTTCTTTACGATGTCTGCATTCACCTCACAGATTTGAATGTCTCTTTTGATTGAGCAGTTTGGAAGCACTCTTTCGGTAGAATCTGCAAGTGGATATGGAGAGAGCTTTGAGGCCTGTTGTGGAAAACTAAATGTCTTCATATAAAAGCTACACAGAAGCATTCTGAGAAACTCCTTTGTTATGTGTGCATTCATCTCACAGAGTTGAACCTTTCTTTTGATTCGGCAGTTTTGAAACACGGTTTCTGTAGAATCTTCAAGTGGATATTTGGAGCACTTTTCTGCCTATTGTGTAAAAGGAAATATCTTTACGTAAGAACTACACAGAAGCATTCTGAGAAACTTCTTTGTGATGTTCTTAACTCACAGCGTTAAACTTACCTTTGGTAGAGCAGTTTTGAAACTCTCTTTTTGTGGAAAATGTAAGTGGGTATTTAGAGCCATTTGTGGCCTATGGTGGAAAGGAAAATATCTTCACATAAAAACTACACAGAAGCATTCTGAGAAACTACCTTTTGATGTGTGTATTTGTCTCAGACTGGAACCTTCCTTTTGATTGAGCAGTTCTGAAACACTCTTTTTGTAGAATCTGGAAGTGCATATTTGGAGTGCTTTGAGGCCTATGGTGGAAAAAGAAATATCTTCATTTAAAAACTACACAGAAGCATTCTGAGAAACTTCTTTGTGATGTGTGTATTCATACCACAGAGTCGAAACTATCGTTTGAGAGAGCATTTCGAAACTTTCTTTTTGTAGGATCTGCAAGTGGATATTTGGAGGGCTTTCAGGCCTATGGTGGAAAAGGAAATATCTTCACATAAACACTACTCAGAAGCATTCTGAGAAACTTCTTCACGATGGTTGCACTAAACTCTCAGAGTTGAACTTATCTTTTGATAGAGCAGTTTTGAAACTCTGTGTTACTAGAATCTGCATGTGGTTATTTGGAGTCCTTTGTGGCCGATGGTGGAAAAGGAAATATCTTCCCCTAAAAAGTACACAGAAGCATTCTGAGAAACTTTTTTGACATGTGTGCACTAATCTCACAGAGTTTAATCTATCATTTGATTGAGCAGTTTTAAAAAACTTTTTTTGTGGAATCTGCAATTGGATATTTGGAACGCTTTGAGGCCTATTGTGGAAAAGGCAATATCTTCACATAAAAACTACACAGAAACATTCCGAGAAACTTCTCTGTGATGTGTGCACTCATCTCACGGAGTTGAACCTTTCTTTGATTGACAAGTTTTGAAAGACTATGTTTCTATAATGTGCAAGTGGATATTTGGAGTGCTTTGAGGCATATGGTGGAAAAGGAAATATATTCACATAAAACTATACAGAAGCGTTCCCAGAAACTTATTTGTGATGTGTTTATTCAACTCGCAGAGTTGACCCTATCTTTTGATACAGCAGTTTTGAAACTCTCTTTTTGTAGAATCTGCAAGTGGATATTTGCAGCGCTTTGAGGCCTGCGGTGGAAAAGGAAATATCTTCACATAAAAACTACACAGAAGCATTCTCAGTAACCTTCTTTGTAATGTGTGCATTCACCTCACAGACTTGAAACTTCCTCTTGATTGAGCAGCTTGGAAACACACTTTTAGTGAAATCT
Source organism: Homo sapiens (assembly GCF_000001405.40). Taxonomy (NCBI): domain Eukaryota; kingdom Metazoa; phylum Chordata; class Mammalia; order Primates; family Hominidae; genus Homo; species Homo sapiens. The sequence goes on from NC_000024.10 coordinate 10,467,878, forward strand.
GCAAGTGGATATTTGGAGCACCTTGAGGCCTGTTGTGGAAAAGGAAATATCTTCACATAAAAACTACACAGAAGCATTCCAATAAACTTGTTTGTGATATGTACCTTCAACTGACAGATTTGAACCTTTCTTTTGATTAAATAGTTTTGAAAATCTCTTTTTGTAGAATCTGCAAGTGGATATTTGGAGTGCTTTGAGGCCTATGGTGGAAAAGGAAATATCTTTACATAAAAACTACACAGAAGCATTCTGAGAAACTACTTTGTGATGTGTGCATTCATATCACATAGTTGAACCTATCTTTTGATAGAGCACTTTTGAAACTCTCTTTTTGTAGAATCTGCAAGTGGATATTTGGAGCCCTTTGCAGCCTATGGTGGAAAAGGAAACATCTTCACATAAAAACTACACAGAAGCATTCTCAGAAACTACTTTGTGATGTGTGCGTTCAGCTCACAGACTTGAAACTTCCTCTTGATTGAGCAGTTTGGAAACACTCTTTAGTAAAATCTGCAAGTGGATATTCGGAGCACTTTGAGGCCTGTTGTGGAGAAGGAAATATCTTCACATAAAAACTACACAGACGCATTCCGAGAAACTTGTTTGTGATATGTGCATTCAACTGACAGAGTTGAACCTTTCTTTTGATTGACTAGTTTTGAAAATCTCTTTTTGTAGAATCTGCAAGTGGATATTTGGAGTGCTTTGAGGCCTATGGTGGAAAAGGAAATATCTTCATATGAAAACTACACAGAAGCATTCTGAGAAAATTCTTTGTGATGTGTGCATTCAAACCACAGACTTGAACTGATCTTTTGATAGAGCAGTTTTTAAAGTGTCTTTCTGTAGAATCTGCAAGTGGTTACTTGGAGACCTTTGTGGAAGATGGTGGAAAAGGAAATGTCTTCCCGTAAAAACTACACAGATGCATTCTGAGAAACTTCTTTGTGATGTGTGCATTCATCTCACAGAGTTCAACCTATCTTTTCGTAGAGCAGTTTTGAAACTCTCTTTTCCTAGAATCTGTAAGTTGATATTTGGAGCCCTTTGCGGCCTATTGTGGAAAAGGAAATAACTTCACATGAAAACTACACAGAAGCTGAGAAACTTCTTTGTGATGTGTGCATTAATTTCCCAGAGTCGAACCTTTCTTTTGATTGAGCAGTTTTGAAACACTCTTTTTGTAGAATCTGCAAGTGGACATTTGAAGCACTTTGAGGCCTATTGTTGAAAAGGAAACATCTTCATATAAAAACAAGGAAGCATTCTGAGAAACCATTTTGTGCTGTGTGCATTCACCTCACAGAGTTCAACTTTATTTGATACAGCAGTTTTGAAACACTCTTCTTGTAGAATCTGCAAGTGGAAATTGGGAAATATTTAGGCATATGGTGGAAAAGGAAACATCCGCACATAAAAACTACACAGACACATTCTGTGAAACTTCTTTGTGCTGTGTGCATTCAAACCACAGAGTTGAACCTATCTTTTGAATGAGCAGTTTTGAAACTCTCTTTTCATAGTATCTGCAAGTGGATATTTGGAGCCTTTTGTGGCCTATGGTGGGAAAGGAAATATCTTCATATAAAAACTACACAGGAAAGCATTCTGAGAAAACTTCTCAGTGATGTGAGCATTCTTCTCACAGAGTTGAACTATCTTTTGATTGAGCAGTTTTGAAACACTGTTTTTTTTAGAATCTGCAAGTGAATATTTGGAGCCTTTTGGGTCTTATTGTGGAAAAGGAAATATCTTCACATAAAAACTACACAGAAGCATTCTGAGAAACTTCTTTGTCATGTGTGGATTCATCTCACAGAGTTAAATCTTTCTTTTGATTGAGCAGTTTGCAAACACTCTTTTTGTGGTATCTCCAGGAGGATATTTGGAGTGCTTTGAGGCCTATGTTGGAAAAGGAAGTATCTTCCCTTAAAAGCTATGCAGAAGCATTCTGAGAAACTTCCTTCTGATGTGTGCATTCATCTCACCTAGTTGAACCTTTCTTTTGGTTGTGCACTTTTGAAACACTCTTTTTGTGGAATCTGCAAGTGGATATCTGGATCACTTTGACGTCTATTGTGGAAAAGGAAATATCTTCACATAAAAACTACACAGAAGAATTCCGACATAGTTCTTTGTGATGTGTGCATTCAACTCACATAGTTGAAACCATCTCTTGATCGAGTAGTTTTGAACCTCTCTTGTTGTAGAATCTGAAAGTGGATATTTGTGTCCCCTGGCGGTCTATGGTGGAAAAGAAATATCTTCACAAAAATACTACACAGAAGCATTCTGAGAAACTTCTTTGTGATGTGTCCATTCATCCCACAGAGTTGAACCTTTCTTTTGATTGAGCAGTTTTGAAATACTCCTTTTGTAGAATCTGCAAGTGGATATTTTGAGTGCTTTGAGAACTATTGTGGAAAAGGAATTATCTTCTCATAAAACCTACACTGAAGGATTCTGAGAAATTTCTTGTGATGTGTGCATTCATCTCACAGAGTTGAACATTTCCTATGATTGAGCAGTTTGGAAATATTCTTTTCATAGAATCTGGAAGTGGATATTTGGAGCCCTTTGAGGCCTATTGTGGAAAAGGAAATATCTTCACATAAAAACTACAGAGAAGCATTCTGAGAAACTTCTTTGTGATGTGTGCATTCATCAAACAGAATTGAACATTTCTTTTTTTGTGCAGTTTTGAAACAATCTTCTTGTAGTATCTGCAAGTGGATATTTGGAGCGTTTTAAGACCTAAGGTGGGAAAGGAAATATCTTCACATAAAAATTACACAGAGAGATTCTGAGAAACTTCTTTGTGATGTGTGCATTCATCTCATATATTTGAACCTTTCTTTTCATTGTGCAGTTTCCAAGCAATCTTTTTCTAGAATATGTAAGTGGATATTTGGAGCACTTTGTGGACTATGGAGGGAAAAGAAATGTCTTCACATAAAAACTACACAGAAGCATTGGGAGAAAATTCTTGTGATATTTGTGTTCAACCCACAAAGTTGAACATATTGTTTGATAGAGCAGTTGTGAAACTCTCTTTTTGTAGAATCTGCAAGTGGGTATTTGGAGCCCTTTGTGGCCCATGGTAGAAAAGGAACTATCTTCACAGAAAAACTACCCAGAAGCATTTTGAGAAACTCCTTTGTGATTTGTGCACTCATCTCACGGTGTTGAAACTTTATTTTTATTGAGCAATTTTGAACATTCCTTTTTATAGAATCTACAAGTGGATATTTGGAGTGGTTTGAGACCTATGGTAGAAAAAGAACTATCTTCACCGAAAAACCACACAGAAGCATTTTGAGAAGCTTCTTTTTGATGTATGCATTCAACTCACAGAGACGAACTGATCTTTTGATAGAGCAGTTTTGAAACTCACTTTTGTAGAATCTGCAGGTGGATATTTGGAGTACATTGCGGCCTATGGTGAAAAAGGAACTATCTTCGCATGAGAACCAGGCAGAAACATTCTGAGAAACTAGTTTGTGATGTGTGCATTCATCTCACAGAGTTGAAATCATTTTTTGATTTGAGTAGTTTGGAAACACTCTTTTTGTGGAATCTCTAAGGGCATATTTGAAGCGTTTTGCACGCTGTTGTGGAAAAGGAAATATCTTCACATAAAAACTACACAGAAGCATTCTGAGAAACTACTTTGTGATGTGGGCATTCATGTCACGGTTTTGAACCTTCCATTTGATTGAGCAGTTTTGAAATACTCGTTTGGTAGAATGTACAAGTGAATATTTGGAGCACTTTGAGGCCTATGATAGAAACGGAAATATGTTTACATAAAAACTACACAGAAGCATGCTGAGAAACCTCTTTGTGATGTGTGTATTCACCTCCGGGAGTTCAACCTATCATTTGACAGAGCGGTTTTGAAACTCTTTTTGTAGAATCTCCAAGTGGATATTTGGAGCCCTTTGCATTCTACTGTGAAAAGGAAATATCTTCACATCAAAACTACACAGACGCATTCTGAGAAACTTCTTTGTGATGTTTGCTTTCAACTCACAGAATTGAACCTTTTGTTTGAGTAGTTTTGAAACTCTCTTTTTGTAGAATCTAGAAGTGGATATTTAGAACGCTTGGAGGCCTATGGTGCAAAAACGAATAACTTCACACAAAAAATACACAGAAGCATTCTGAGAAACTTCTTTACGATGTCTGCATTCACCTCACAGATTTGAATGTCTCTTTTGATTGAGCAGTTTGGAAGCACTCTTTCGGTAGAATCTGCAAGTGGATATGGAGAGAGCTTTGAGGCCTGTTGTGGAAAACTAAATGTCTTCATATAAAAGCTACACAGAAGCATTCTGAGAAACTCCTTTGTTATGTGTGCATTCATCTCACAGAGTTGAACCTTTCTTTTGATTCGGCAGTTTTGAAACACGGTTTTTGTAGAATCTTCAAGTGGATATTTGGAGCACTTTTCTGCCTATTGTGTAAAAGGAAATATCTTTACGTAAGAACTACACAGAAGCATTCTGAGAAACTTCTTTGTGATGTTCTTAACTCACAGCGTTAAACTTACCTTTGGTAGAGCAGTTTTGAAACTCTCTTTTTGTGGAAAATGTAAGTGGGTATTTAGAGCCATTTGTGGCCTATGGTGGAAAGGAAAATATCTTCACATAAAAACTACACAGAAGCATTCTGAGAAACTACCTTTTGATGTGTGTATTTGTCTCAGACTGGAACCTTCCTTTTGATTGAGCAGTTCTGAAACACTCTTTTTGTAGAATCTGGAAGTGCATATTTGGAGTGCTTTGAGGCCTATGGTGGAAAAAGAAATATCTTCATTTAAAAACTACACAGAAGCATTCTGAGAAACTTCTTTGTGATGTGTGTATTCATACCACAGAGTCGAAACTATCGTTTGAGAGAGCATTTCGAAACTTTCTTTTTGTAGGATCTGCAAGTGGATATTTGGAGGGCTTTCAGGCCTATGGTGGAAAAGGAAATATCTTCACATAAACACTACTCAGAAGCATTCTGAGAAACTTCTTCACGATGGTTGCACTAAACTCTCAGAGTTGAACTTATCTTTTGATAGAGCAGTTTTGAAACTCTGTGTTACTAGAATCTGCATGTGGTTATTTGGAGTCCTTTGTGGCCGATGGTGGAAAAGGAAATATCTTCCCCTAAAAAGTACACAGAAGCATTCTGAGAAACTTTTTTGACATGTGTGCACTAATCTCACAGAGTTTAATCTATCATTTGATTGAGCAGTTTTAAAAAACTTTTTTTGTGGAATCTGCAATTGGATATTTGGAACGCTTTGAGGCCTATTGTGGAAAAGGCAATATCTTCACATAAAAACTACACAGAAACATTCCGAGAAACTTCTCTGTGATGTGTGCACTCATCTCACGGAGTTGAACCTTTCTTTGATTGACAAGTTTTGAAAGACTATGTTTCTATAATGTGCAAGTGGATATTTGGAGTGCTTTGAGGCATATGGTGGAAAAGGAAATATATTCACATAAAACTATACAGAAGCGTTCCCAGAAACTTATTTGTGATGTGCTTATTCAACTCGCAGAGTTGACCCTATCTTTTGATACAGCAGTTTTGAAACTCTCTTTTTGTAGAATCTGCAAGTGGATATTTGCAGCGCTTTGAGGCCTGCGGTGGAAAAGGAAATATCTTCACATAAAAACTACACAGAAGCATTCTCAGTAACTTCTTTGTAATGTGTGCATTCACCTCACAGACTTGAAACTTCCTCTTGATTGAGCAGCTTGGAAACACACTTTTAGTGAAATCTGCAAGTGGATATTTGGAGCACCTTGAGGCCTGTTGTGGAAAAGGAAATATCTTCACATAAAAACTACACAGAAGCATTCCAATAAACTTGTTTGTGATATGTACCTTCAACTGACAGATTTGAACCTTTCTTTTGATTAAATAGTTTTGAAAATCTCTTTTTGTAGAATCTGCAAGTGGATATTTGGAGTGCTTTGAGGCCTATGGTGGAAAAGGAAATATCTTTACATAAAAACTACATAGAAGCATTCTGAGAAACTACTTTGTGATGTGTGCATTCATATCACATAGTTGAACCTATCTTTTGATAGAGCACTTTTGAAACTCTCTTTTTGTAGAATCTGCAAGTGGATATTTGGAGCCCTTTGCAGCCTATGGTGGAAAAGGAAACATCTTCACATAAAAACTACACAGAAGCATTCTCAGAAACTACTTTGTGATGTGTGCGTTCAGCTCACAGACTTGAAACTTCCTCTTGATTGAGCAGTTTGGAAACACTCTTTAGTAAAATCTGCAAGTGGATATTCGGAGCACTTTGAGGCCTGTTGTGGAGAAGGAAATATCTTCACATAAAAACTACACAGACGCATTCCGAGAAACTTGTTTGTGATATGTGCATTCAACTGACAGAGTTGAACCTTTCTTTTGATTGACTAGTTTTGAAAATCTCTTTTTGTAGAATCTGCAAGTGGATATTTGGAGTGCTTTGAGGCCTATGGTGGAAAAGGAAATATCTTCATATGAAAACTACACAGAAGCATTCTGAGAAAATTCTTTGTGATGTGTGCATTCAAACCACAGACTTGAACTGATCTTTTGATAGAGCAGTTTTTAAAGTGTCTTTCTGTAGAATCTGCAAGTGGTTACTTGGAGACCTTTGTGGAAGATGGTGGAAAAGGAAATGTCTTCCCGTAAAAACTACACAGATGCATTCTGAGAAACTTCTTTGTGATGTGTGCATTCATCTCACAGAGTTCAACCTATCTTTTCGTAGAGCAGTTTTGAAACTCTCTTTTCCTAGAATCTGTAAGTTGATATTTGGAGCCCTTTGCGGCCTATTGTGGAAAAGGAAATAACTTCACATGAAAACTACACAGAAGCTGAGAAACTTCTTTGTGATGTGTGCATTAATTTCCCAGAGTCGAACCTTTCTTTTGATTGAGCAGTTTTGAAACACTCTTTTTGTAGAATCTGCAAGTGGACATTTGAAGCACTTTGAGGCCTATTGTTGAAAAGGAAACATCTTCATATAAAAACAACAAGGAAGCATTCTGAGAAACCATTTTGTGCTGTGTGCATTCACCTCACAGAGTTCAACTTTATTTGATACAGCAGTTTTGAAACACTCTTCTTGTGGAATCTGCAAGTGGAAATTGGGAAATATTTAGGCATATGGTGGAAAAGGAAACATCCGCACATAAAAACTACACAGACACATTCTGTGAAACTTCTTTGTGCTGTGTGCATTCAAACCACAGAGTTGAACCTATCTTTTGAATGAGCAGTTTTGAAACTCTCTTTTCATAGTATCTGCAAGTGGATATTTGGAGCCTTTTGTGGCCTACGGTGGGAAAGGAAATATCTTCATATAAAAACTACACAGAAGCATTCTGAGAAACTTCTCAGTGATGTGAGCATTCTTCTCACAGAGTTGAACTATCTTTTGATTGAGCAGTTTTGAAACACTGTTTTTTTTAGAATCTGCAAGTGAATATTTGGAGCCTTTTGGGTCTTATTGTGGAAAAGGAAATATCTTCACATAAAAACTACACAGAAGCATTCTGAGAAACTTCTTTGTCATGTGTGGATTCATCTCACAGAGTTAAATCTTTCTTTTGATTGAGCAGTTTGCAAACACTCTTTTTGTGGTATCTCCAGGAGGATATTTGGAGTGCTTTGAGGCCTATGTTGGAAAAGGAAGTATCTTCCCTTAAAAGCTATGCAGAAGCATTCTGAGAAACTTCCTTCTGATGTGTGCATTCATCTCACCTAGTTGAACCTTTCTTTTGGTTGTGCACTTTTGAAACACTCTTTTTGTGGAATCTGCAAGTGGATATCTGGATCACTTTGACGTCTATTGTGGAAAAGGAAATATCTTCACATAAAAACTACACAGAAGAATTCCGACATAGTTCTTTGTGATGTGTGCATTCAACTCACATAGTTGAAACCATCTCTTGATCGAGTAGTTTTGAACCTCTCTTGTTGTAGAATCTGAAAGTGGATATTTGTGTCCCCTGGCGGTCTATGGTGGAAAAGAAATATCTTCACAAAAATACTACACAGAAGCATTCTGAGAAACTTCTTTGTGATGTGTCCATTCATCTCACAGAGTTGAACCTTTCTTTTGATTGAGCAGTTTTGAAATACTCCTTTTGTAGAATCTGCAAGTGGATATTTTGAGTGCTTTGAGAACTATTGTGGAAAAGGAATTATCTTCTCATAAAACCTACACTGAAGGATTCTGAGAAATTTCTTGTGATGTGTGCATTCATCTCACAGGAGTTGAACATTTCCTATGATTGAGCAGTTTGGAAATATTCTTTTCATAGAATCTGGAAGTGGATATTTGGAGCCCTTTGAGGCCTATTGTGGAAAAGGAAATATCTTCACATAAAAACTACAGAGAAGCATTCTGAGAAACTTCTTTGTGATGTGTGCATTCATCAAACAGAATTGAACATTTCTTTTTTTGTGCAGTTTTGAAACAATCTTCTTGTAGTATCTGCAAGTGGATATTTGGAGCGTTTTAAGACCTAAGGTGGGAAAGGAAATATCTTCACATAAAAATTACACAGAGAGATTCTGAGAAACTTCTTTGTGATGTGTGCATTCATCTCATATATTTGAACCTTTCTTTTCATTGTGCAGTTTCCAAGCAATCTTTTTCTAGAATATGTAAGTGGATATTTGGAGCACTTTGTGGACTATGGAGGGAAAAGAAATGTCTTCACATAAAAACTACACAGGAAGCATTGGGAGAAAATTCTTGTGATATTTGTGTTCAACCCACAAAGTTGAACATATTGTTTGATAGAGCAGTTGTGAAACTCTCTTTTTGTAGAATCTGCAAGTGGGTATTTGGAGCCCTTTGTGACCCATGGTAGAAAAGGAACTATCTTCACAGAAAAACTACCCAGAAGCATTTTGAGAAACTCCTTTGTGATTTGTGCACTCATCTCACGGTGTTGAAACTTTATTTTTATTGAGCAATTTTGAACATTCCTTTTTATAGAATCTACAAGTGGATATTTGGAGTGGTTTGAGACCTATGGTAGAAAAAGAACTATCTTCACCGAAAAACCACACAGAAGCATTTTGAGAAGCTTCTTTTTGATGTATGCATTCAACTCACAGAGACGAACTGATCTTTTGATAGAGCAGTTTTGAAACTCACTTTTGTAGAATCTGCAGGTGGATATTTGGAGTACATTGCGGCCTATGGTGAAAAAGGAACTATTCTTCGCATGAGAACCAGGCAGAAACATTCTGAGAAACTAGTTTGTGATGTGTGCATTCATCTCACAGAGTTGAAATCATTTTTTGATTTGAGTAGTTTGGAAACACTCTTTTTGTGGAATCTCTAAGGGCATATTTGAAGCGTTTTGCACGCTGTTGTGGAAAAGGAAATATCTTCACATAAAAACTACACAGAAGCATCTGAGAAACTACTTTGTGATGTGGGCATTCATGTCACGGTTTTGAACATTCCATTTGATTGAGCAGTTTTGAAATACTCGTTTGGTAGAATGTACAAGTGAATATTTGGAGCACTTTGAGGCCTATGATAGAAACGGAAATATGTTTACATAAAAACTACACAGAAGCATGCTGAGAAACCTCTTTGTGATGTGTGTATTCACCTCCGGGAGTTCAACCTATCATTTGACAGAGCGGTTTTGAAACTCTTTTTGTAGAATCTCCAAGTGGATATTTGGAGCCCTTTGCATTCTACTGTGAAAAGGAAATATCTTCACATCAAAACTACACAGACGCATTCTGAGAAACTTCTTTGTGATGTTTGCTTTCAACTCACAGAATTGAACCTTTTGTTTGAGTAGTTTTGAAACTCTCTTTTTGTAGAATCTAGAAGTGGATATTTAGAACGCTTGGAGGCCTATGGTGCAAAAACGAATAACTTCACACAAAAAATACACAGAAGCATTCTGAGAAACTTCTTTACGATGTCTGCATTCACCTCACAGATTTGAATGTCTCTTTTGATTGAGCAGTTTGGAAGCACTCTTTCGGTAGAATCTGCAAGTGGATATGGAGAGAGCTTTGAGGCCTGTTGTGGAAAACTAAATGTCTTCATATAAAAGCTACACAGAAGCATTCTGAGAAACTCTTTTGTTATGTGTGCATTCATCTCACAGAGTTGAACCTTTCTTTTGATTCGGCAGTTTTGAAACACGGTTTTTGTAGAATCTTCAAGTGGATATTTGGAGCACTTTTCTGCCTATTGTGTAAAAGGAAATATCTTTACGTAAGAACTACACAGAAGCATTCTGAGAAACTTCTTTGTGATGTTCTTAACTCACAGCGTTAAACTTACCTTTGGTAGAGCAGTTTTGAAACTCTCTTTTTGTGGAAAATGTAAGTGGGTATTTAGAGCCATTTGTGGCCTATGGTGGAAAGGAAAATATCTTCACATAAAAACTACACAGAAGCATTCTGAGAAACTACCTTTTGATGTGTGTATTTGTCTCAGACTGGAACCTTCCTTTTGATTGAGCAGTTCTGAAACACTCTTTTTGTAGAATCTGGAAGTGCATATTTGGAGTGCTTTGAGGCCTATGGTGGAAAAAGAAATATCTTCATTTAAAAACTACACAGAAGCATTCTGAGAAACTTCTTTGTGATGTGTGTATTCATACCACAGAGTCGAAACTATCGTTTGAGAGAGCATTTCGAAACTTTCTTTTTGTAGGATCTGCAAGTGGATATTTGGAGGGCTTTCAGGCCTATGGTGGAAAAGGAAATATCTTCACATAAACACTACTCAGAAGCATTCTGAGAAACTTCTTCACGATGGTTGCACTAAACTCTCAGAGTTGAACTTATCTTTTGATAGAGCAGTTTTGAAACTCTGTGTTACTAGAATCTGCATGTGGTTATTTGGAGTCCTTTGTGGCCGATGGTGGAAAAGGAAATATCTTCCCCTAAAAAGTACACAGAAGCATTCTGAGAAACTTTTTTGACATGTGTGCACTAATCTCACAGAGTTTAATCTATCATTTGATTGAGCAGTTTTAAAAAACTTTTTTTGTGGAATCTGCAATTGGATATTTGGAACGCTTTGAGGCCTATTGTGGAAAAGGCAATATCTTCACATAAAAACTACACAGAAACATTCCGAGAAACTTCTCTGTGATGTGTGCACTCATCTCACGGAGTTGAACCTTTCTTTGATTGACAAGTTTTGAAAGACTATGTTTCTATAATGTGCAAGTGGATATTTGGAGTGCTTTGAGGCATATGGTGGAAAAGGAAATATATTCACATAAAACTATACAGAAGCGTTCCCAGAAACTTATTTGTGATGTGTTTATTCAACTCGCAGAGTTGACCCTATCTTTTGATACAGCAGTTTTGAAACTCTCTTTTTGTAGAATCTGCAAGTGGATATTTGCAGCGCTTTGAGGCCTGCGGTGGAAAAGGAAATATCTTCACATAAAAACTACACAGAAGCATTCTCAGTAACTTCTTTGTAATGTGTGCATTCACCTCACAGACTTGAAACTTCCTACTTGATTGAGCAGCTTGGAAACACACTTTTAGTGAAATCTGCAAGTGGATATTTGGAGCACCTTGAGGCCTGTTGTGGAAAAGGAAATATCTTCACATAAAAACTACACAGAAGCATTCCAATAAACTTGTTTGTGATATGTACCTTCAACTGACAGATTTGAACCTTTCTTTTGATTAAATAGTTTTGAAAATCTCTTTTTGTAGAATCTGCAAGTGGATATTTGGAGTGCTTTGAGGCCTATGGTGGAAAAGGAAATATCTTTACATAAAAACTACACAGAAGCATTCTGAGAAACTACTTTGTGATGTGTGCATTCATATCACATAGTTGAACCTATCTTTTGATAGAGCACTTTTGAGACTCTCTTTTTGTAGAATCTGCAAGTGGATATTTGGAGCCCTTTGCAGCCTATGGTGGAAAAGGAAACATCTTCACATAAAAACTACACAGAAGCCTTCTCAGAAACTACTTTGTGATGTGTGCGTTCAGCTCACAGACTTGAAACTTCCTCTTGATTGAGCAGTTTGGAAACACTCTTTAGTAAAATCTGCAAGTGGATATTCGGAGCACTTTGAGGCCTGTTGTGGAGAAGGAAATATCTTCACATAAAAACTACACAGACGCATTCCGAGAAACTTGTTTGTGATATGTGCATTCAACTGACAGAGTTGAACCTTTCTTTTGATTGACTAGTTTTGAAAATCTCTTTTTGTAGAATCTGCAAGTGGATATTTGGAGTGCTTTGAGGCCTATGGTGGAAAAGGAAATATCTTCATATGAAAACTACACAGAAGCATTCTGAGAAAATTCTTTGTGATGTGTGCATTCAAACCACAGACTTGAACTGATCTTTTGATAGAGCAGTTTTTAAAGTGTCTTTCTGTAGAATCTGCAAGTGGTTACTTGGAGACCTTTGTGGAAGATGGTGGAAAAGGAAATGTCTTCCCGTAAAAACTACACAGATGCATTCTGAGAAACTTCTTTGTGATGTGTGCATTCATCTCACAGAGTTCAACCTATCTTTTCGTAGAGCAGTTTTGAAACTCTCTTTTCCTAGAATCTGTAAGTTGATATTTGGAGCCCTTTGCGGCCTATTGTGGAAAAGGAAATAACTTCACATGAAAACTACACAGAAGCTGAGAAACTTCTTTGTGATGTGTGCATTAATTTCCCAGAGTCGAACCTTTCTTTTGATTGAGCAGTTTTGAAACACTCTTTTTGTAGAATCTGCAAGTGGACATTTGAAGCACTTTGAGGCCTATTGTTGAAAAGGAAACATCTTCATATAAAAACAACAAGGAAGCATTCTGAGAAACCATTTTGTGCTGTGTGCATTCACCTCACAGAGTTCAACTTTATTTGATACAGCAGTTTTGAAACACTCTTCTTGTGGAATCTGCAAGTGGAAATTGGGAAATATTTAGGCATATGGTGGAAAAGGAAACATCCGCACATAAAAACTACACAGACACATTCTGTGAAACTTCTTTGTGCTGTGTGCATTCAAACCACAGAGTTGAACCTATCTTTTGAATGAGCACTTTTGAAACTCTCTTTTCATAGTATCTGCAAGTGGATATTTGGAGCCTTTTGTGGCCTACGGTGGGAAAGGAAATATCTTCATATAAAAACTACACAGAAGCATTCTGAGAAACTTCTCAGTGATGTGAGCATTCTTCTCACAGAGTTGAACTATCTTTTGATTGAGCAGTTTTGAAACACTGTTTTTTTTAGAATCTGCAAGTGAATATTTGGAGCCTTTTGGGTCTTATTGTGGAAAAGGAAATATCTTCACATAAAAACTACACAGAAGCATTCTGAGAAACTTCTTTGTCATGTGTGGATTCATCTCACAGAGTTAAATCTTTCTTTTGATTGAGCAGTTTGCAAACACTCTTTTTGTGGTATCTCCAGGAGGATATTTGGAGTGCTTTGAGGCCTATGTTGGAAAAGGAAGTATCTTCCCTTAAAAGCTATGCAGAAGCATTCTGAGAAACTTCCTTCTGATGTGTGCATTCATCTCACCTAGTTGAACCTTTCTTTTGGTTGTGCACTTTTGAAACACTCTTTTTGTGGAATCTGCAAGTGGATATCTGGATCACTTTGACGTCTATTGTGGAAAAGGAAATATCTTCACATAAATACTACACAGAAGAATTCCGACATAGTTCTTTGTGATGTGTGCATTCAACTCACATAGTTGAAACCATCTCTTGATCGAGTAGTTTTGAACCTCTCTTGTTGTAGAATCTGAAAGTGGATATTTGTGTCCCCTGGCGGTCTATGGTGGAAAAGAAATATCTTCACAAAAATACTACACAGAAGCATTCTGAGAAACTTCTTTGTGATGTGTCCATTCATCTCACAGAGTTGAACCTTTCTTTTGATTGAGCAGTTTTGAAATACTCCTTTTGTAGAATCTGCAAGTGGATATTTTGAGTGCTTTGAGAACTATTGTGGAAAAGGAATTATCTTCTCATAAAACCTACACTGAAGGATTCTGAGAAATTTCTTGTGATGTGTGCATTCATCTCACAGAGTTGAACATTTCCTATGATTGAGCAGTTTGGAAATATTCTTTTCATAGAATCTGGAAGTGGATATTTGGAGCCCTTTGAGGCCTATTGTGGAAAAGGAAATATCTTCACATAAAAACTACAGAGAAGCATTCTGAGAAACTTCTTTGTGATGTGTGCATTCATCAAACAGAATTGAACATTTCTTTTTTTGTGCAGTTTTGAAACAATCTTCTTGTAGTATCTGCAAGTGGATATTTGGAGCGTTTTAAGACCTAAGGTGGGAAAGGAAATATCTTCACATAAAAATTACACAGAGAGATTCTGAGAAACTTCTTTGTGATGTGTGCATTCATCTCATATATTTGAACCTTTCTTTTCATTGTGCAGTTTCCAAGCAATCTTTTTCTAGAATATGTAAGTGGATATTTGGAGCACTTTGTGGACTATGGAGGGAAAAGAAATGTCTTCACATAAAAACTACACAGAAGCATTGGGAGAAAATTCTTGTGATATTTGTGTTCAACCCACAAAGTTGAACATATTGTTTGATAGAGCAGTTGTGAAACTCTCTTTTTGTAGAATCTGCAAGTGGGTATTTGGAGCCCTTTGTGGCCCATGGTAGAAAAGGAACTATCTTCACAGAAAAACTACCCAGAAGCATTTTGAGAAACTCCTTTGTGATTTGTGCACTCATCTCACGGTGTTGAAACTTTATTTTTATTGAGCAATTTTGAACATTCCTTTTTATAGAATCTACAAGTGGATATTTGGAGTGGTTTGAGACCTATGGTAGAAAAAGAACTATCTTCACCGAAAAACCACACAGAAGCATTTTGAGAAGCTTCTTTTTGATGTATGCATTCAACTCACAGAGACGAACTGATCTTTTGATAGAGCAGTTTTGAAACTCACTTTTGTAGAATCTGCAGGTGGATATTTGGAGTACATTGCGGCCTATGGTGAAAAAGGAACTATTCTTCGCATGAGAACCAGGCAGAAACATTCTGAGAAACTAGTTTGTGATGTGTGCATTCATCTCACAGAGTTGAAATCATTTTTTGATTTGAGTAGTTTGGAAACACTCTTTTTGTGGAATCTCTAAGGGCATATTTGAAGCGTTTTGCACGCTGTTGTGGAAAAGGAAATATCTTCACATAAAAACTACACAGAAGCATTCTGAGGAAACTACTTTGTGATGTGGGCATTCATGTCACAGTTTTGAACCTTCCATTTGATTGAGCAGTTTTGAAATACTCGTTTGGTAGAATGTACAAGTGAATATTTGGAGCACTTTGAGGCCTATGATAGAAACGGAAATATGTTTACATAAAAACTACACAGAAGCATGCTGAGAAACCTCTTTGTGATGTGTGTATTCACCTCCGGGAGTTCAACCTATCATTTGACAGAGCGGTTTTGAAACTCTTTTTGTAGAATCTCCAAGTGGATATTTGGAGCCCTTTGCATTCTACTGTGAAAAGGAAATATCTTCACATCAAAACTACACAGACGCATTCTGAGAAACTTCTTTGTGATGTTTGCTTTCAACTCACAGAATTGAACCTTTTGTTTGAGTAGTTTTGAAACTCTCTTTTTGTAGAATCTAGAAGTGGATATTTAGAACGCTTGGAGGCCTATGGTGCAAAAACGAATAACTTCACACAAAAAATACACAGAAAGCATTCTGAGAAACTTCTTTACGATGTCTGCATTCACCTCACAGATTTGAATGTCTCTTTTGATTGAGCAGTTTGGAAGCACTCTTTCGGTAGAATCTGCAAGTGGATATGGAGAGAGCTTTGAGGCCTGTTGTGGAAAACTAAATGTCTTCATATAAAAGCTACACAGAAGCATTCTGAGAAACTCCTTTGTTATGTGTGCATTCATCTCACAGAGTTGAACCTTTCTTTTGATTCGGCAGTTTTGAAACACGGTTTCTGTAGAATCTTCAAGTGGATATTTGGAGCACTTTTCTGCCTATTGTGTAAAAGGAAATATCTTTACGTAAGAACTACACAGAAGCATTCTGAGAAACTTCTTTGTGATGTTCTTAACTCACAGCGTTAAACTTACCTTTGGTAGAGCAGTTTTGAAACTCTCTTTTTGTGGAAAATGTAAGTGGGTATTTAGAGCCATTTGTGGCCTATGGTGGAAAGGAAAATATCTTCACATAAAAACTACACAGAAGCATTCTGAGAAACTACCTTTTGATGTGTGTATTTGTCTCAGACTGGAACCTTCCTTTTGATTGAGCAGTTCTGAAACACTCTTTTTGTAGAATCTGGAAGTGCATATTTGGAGTGCTTTGAGGCCTATGGTGGAAAAAGAAATATCTTCATTTAAAAACTACACAGAAGCATTCTGAGAAACTTCTTTGTGATGTGTGTGTGTATTCATACCACAGAGTCGAAACTATCGTTTGAGAGAGCATTTCGAAACTTTCTTTTTGTAGGATCTGCAAGTGGATATTTGGAGGGCTTTCAGGCCTATGGTGGAAAAGGAAATATCTTCACATAAACACTACTCAGAAGCATTCTGAGAAACTTCTTCACGATGGTTGCACTAAACTCTCAGAGTTGAACTTATCTTTTGATAGAGCAGTTTTGAAACTCTGTGTTACTAGAATCTGCATGTGGTTATTTGGAGTCCTTTGTGGCCGATGGTGGAAAAGGAAATATCTTCCCCTAAAAAGTACACAGAAGCATTCTGAGAAACTTTTTTGACATGTGTGCACTAATCTCACAGAGTTTAATCTATCATTTGATTGAGCAGTTTTAAAAAACTTTTTTTGTGGAATCTGCAATTGGACATTTGGAACGCTTTGAGGCCTATTGTGGAAAAGGCAATATCTTCACATAAAAACTACACAGAAACATTCCGAGAAACTTCTCTGTGATGTGTGCACTCATCTCACGGAGTTGAACCTTTCTTTGATTGACAAGTTTTGAAAGACTATGTTTCTATAATGTGCAAGTGGATATTTGGAGTGCTTTGAGGCATATGGTGGAAAAGGAAATATATTCACATAAAACTATACAGAAGCGTTCCCAGAAACTTATTTGTGATGTGTTTATTCAACTCGCAGAGTTGACCCTATCTTTTGATACAGCAGTTTTGAAACTCTCTTTTTGTAGAATCTGCAAGTGGATATTTGCAGCGCTTTGAGGCCTGCGGTGGAAAAGGAAATATCTTCACATAAAAACTACACAGAAGCATTCTCAGTAACCTTCTTTGTAATGTGTGCATTCACCTCACAGACTTGAAACTTCCTCTTGATTGAGCAGCTTGGAAACACACTTTTAGTGAAATCTGCAAGTGGATATTTGGAGCACCTTGAGGCCTGTTGTGGAAAAGGAAATATCTTCACATAAAAACTACACAGAAGCATTCCAATAAACTTGTTTGTGATATGTACCTTCAACTGACAGATTTGAACCTTTCTTTTGATTAAATAGTTTTGAAAATCTCTTTTTGTAGAATCTGCAAGTGGATATTTGGAGTGCTTTGAGGCCTATGGTGGAAAAGGAAATATCTTTACATAAAAACTACACAGAAGCATTCTGAGAAACTACTTTGTGATGTGTGCATTCATATCACATAGTTGAACCTATCTTTTGATAGAGCACTTTTGAGACTCTCTTTTTGTAGAATCTGCAAGTGGATATTTGGAGCCCTTTGCAGCCTATGGTGGAAAAGGAAACATCTTCACATAAAAACTACACAGAAGCCTTCTCAGAAACTACTTTGTGATGTGTGCGTTCAGCTCACAGACTTGAAACTTCCTCTTGATTGAGCAGTTTGGAAACACTCTTTAGTAAAATCTGCAAGTGGATATTCGGAGCACTTTGAGGCCTGTTGTGGAGAAGGAAATATCTTCACATAAAAACTACACAGACGCATTCCGAGAAACTTGTTTGTGATATGTGCATTCAACTGACAGAGTTGAACCTTTCTTTTGATTGACTAGTTTTGAAAATCTCTTTTTGTAGAATCTGCAAGTGGATATTTGGAGTGCTTTGAGGCCTATGGTGGAAAAGGAAATATCTTCATATGAAAACTACACAGAAGCATTCTGAGAAAATTCTTTGTGATGTGTGCATTCAAACCACAGACTTGAACTGATCTTTTGATAGAGCAGTTTTTAAAGTGTCTTTCTGTAGAATCTGCAAGTGGTTACTTGGAGACCTTTGTGGAAGATGGTGGAAAAGGAGAATGTCTTCCCGTAAAAACTACACAGATGCATTCTGAGAAACTTCTTTGTGATGTGTGCATTCATCTCACAGAGTTCAACCTATCTTTTCGTAGAGCAGTTTTGAAACTCTCTTTTCCTAGAATCTGTAAGTTGATATTTGGAGTCCTTTGCGGCCTATTGTGGAAAAGGAAATAACTTCACATGAAAACTACACAGAAGCTGAGAAACTTCTTTGTGATGTGTGCATTAATTTCCCAGAGTCGAACCTTTCTTTTGATTGAGCAGTTTTGAAACACTCTTTTTGTAGAATCTGCAAGTGGACATTTGAAGCACTTTGAGGCCTATTGTTGAAAAGGAAACATCTTCATATAAAAACAACAAGGAAGCATTCTGAGAAACCATTTTGTGCTGTGTGCATTCACCTCACAGAGTTCAACTTTATTTGATACAGCAGTTTTGAAACACTCTTCTTGTGGAATCTGCAAGTGGAAATTGGGAAATATTTAGGCATATGGTGGAAAAGGAAACATCCGCACATAAAAACTACACAGACACATTCTGTGAAACTTCTTTGTGCTGTGTGCATTCAAACCACAGAGTTGAACCTATCTTTTGAATGAGCACTTTTGAAACTCTCTTTTCATAGTATCTGCAAGTGGATATTTGGAGCCTTTTGTGGCCTACGGTGGGAAAGGAAATATCTTCATATAAAACTACACAGAAGCATTCTGAGAAACTTCTCAGTGATGTGAGCATTCTTCTCACAGAGTTGAACTATCTTTTGATTGAGCAGTTTTGAAACACTGTTTTTTTTAGAATCTGCAAGTGAATATTTGGAGCCTTTTGGGTCTTATTGTGGAAAAGGAAATATCTTCACATAAAAACTACACAGAAGCATTCTGAGAAACTTCTTTGTCATGTGTGGATTCATCTCACAGAGTTAAATCTTTCTTTTGATTGAGCAGTTTGCAAACACTCTTTTTGTGGTATCTCCAGGAGGATATTTGGAGTGCTTTGAGGCCTATGTTGGAAAAGGAAGTATCTTCCCTTAAAAGCTATGCAGAAGCATTCTGAGAAACTTCCTTCTGATGTGTGCATTCATCTCACCTAGTTGAACCTTTCTTTTGGTTGTGCACTTTTGAAACACTCTTTTTGTGGAATCTGCAAGTGGATATCTGGATCACTTTGACGTCTATTGTGGAAAAGGAAATATCTTCACATAAATACTACACAGAAGAATTCCGACATAGTTCTTTGTGATGTGTGCATTCAACTCACATAGTTGAAACCATCTCTTGATCGAGTAGTTTTGAACCTCTCTTGTTGTAGAATCTGAAAGTGGATATTTGTGTCCCCTGGCGGTCTATGGTGGAAAAGAAATATCTTCACAAAAATACTACACAGAAGCATTCTGAGAAACTTCTTTGTGATGTGTCCATTCATCCCACAGGAGTTGAACCTTTCTTTTGATTGAGCAGTTTTGAAATACTCCTTTTGTAGAATCTGCAAGTGGATATTTTGAGTGCTTTGAGAACTATTGTGGAAAAGGAATTATCTTCTCATAAAACCTACACTGAAGGATTCTGAGAAATTTCTTGTGATGTGTGCATTCATCTCACAGAGTTGAACATTTCCTATGATTGAGCAGTTTGGAAATATTCTTTTCATAGAATCTGGAAGTGGATATTTGGAGCCCTTTGAGGCCTATTGTGGAAAAGGAAATATCTTCACATAAAAACTACAGAGAAGCATTCTGAGAAACTTCTTTGTGATGTGTGCATTCATCAAACAGAATTGAACATTTCTTTTTTTGTGCAGTTTTGAAACAATCTTCTTGTAGTATCTGCAAGTGGATATTTGGAGCGTTTTAAGACCTAAGGTGGGAAAGGAAATATCTTCACATAAAAATTACACAGAGAGATTCTGAGAAACTTCTTTGTGATGTGTGCATTCATCTCATATATTTGAACCTTTCTTTTCATTGTGCAGTTTCCAAGCAATCTTTTTCTAGAATATGTAAGTGGATATTTGGAGCACTTTGTGGACTATGGAGGGAAAAGAAATGTCTTCACATAAAAACTACACAGAAGCATTGGGAGAAAATTCTTGTGATATTTGTGTTCAACCCACAAAGTTGAACATATTGTTTGATAGAGCAGTTGTGAAACTCTCTTTTTGTAGAATCTGCAAGTGGGTATTTGGAGCCCTTTGTGGCCCATGGTAGAAAAGGAACTATCTTCACAGAAAAACTACCCAGAAGCATTTTGAGAAACTCCTTTGTGATTTGTGCACTCATCTCACGGTGTTGAAACTTTATTTTTATTGAGCAATTTTGAACATTCCTTTTTATAGAATCTACAAGTGGATATTTGGAGTGGTTTGAGACCTATGGTAGAAAAAGAACTATCTTCACCGAAAAACCACACAGAAGCATTTTGAGAAGCTTCTTTTTGATGTATGCATTCAACTCACAGAGACGAACTGATCTTTTGATAGAGCAGTTTTGAAACTCACTTTTGTAGAATCTGCAGGTGGATATTTGGAGTACATTGCGGCCTATGGTGAAAAAGGAACTATCTTCGCATGAGAACCAGGCAGAAACATTCTGAGAAACTAGTTTGTGATGTGTGCATTCATCTCACAGAGTTGAAATCATTTTTTGATTTGAGTAGTTTGGAAACACTCTTTTTGTGGAATCTCTAAGGGCATATTTGAAGCGTTTTGCACGCTGTTGTGGAAAAGGAAATATCTTCACATAAAAACTACACAGAAGCATTCTGAGAAACTACTTTGTGATGTGGGCATTCATGTCACAGTTTTGAACCTTCCATTTGATTGAGCAGTTTTGAAATACTCGTTTGGTAGAATGTACAAGTGAATATTTGGAGCACTTTGAGGCCTATGATAGAAACGGAAATATGTTTACATAAAAACTACACAGAAGCATGCTGAGAAACCTCTTTGTGATGTGTGTATTCACCTCCGGGAGTTCAACCTATCATTTGACAGAGCGGTTTTGAAACTCTTTTTGTAGAATCTCCAAGTGGATATTTGGAGCCCTTTGCATTCTATTGTGAAAAGGAAATATCTTCACATCAAAACTACACAGAACGCATTCTGAGAAACTTCTTTGTGATGTTTGCTTTCAACTCACAGAATTGAACCTTTTGTTTGAGTAGTTTTGAAACTCTCTTTTTGTAGAATCTAGAAGTGGATATTTAGAACGCTTGGAGGCCTATGGTGCAAAAACGAATAACTTCACACAAAAAATACACAGAAGCATTCTGAGAAACTTCTTTACGATGTCTGCATTCACCTCACAGATTTGAATGTCTCTTTTGATTGAGCAGTTTGGAAGCACTCTTTCGGTAGAATCTGCAAGTGGATATGGAGAGAGCTTTGAGGCCTGTTGTGGAAAACTAAATGTCTTCATATAAAAGCTACACAGAAGCATTCTGAGAAACTCCTTTGTTATGTGTGCATTCATCTCACAGAGTTGAACCTTTCTTTTGATTCGGCAGTTTTGAAACACGGTTTCTGTAGAATCTTCAAGTGGATATTTGGAGCACTTTTCTGCCTATTGTGTAAAAGGAAATATCTTTACGTAAGAACTACACAGAAGCATTCTGAGAAACTTCTTTGTGATGTTCTTAACTCACAGCGTTAAACTTACCTTTGGTAGAGCAGTTTTGAAACTCTCTTTTTGTGGAAAATGTAAGTGGGTATTTAGAGCCATTTGTGGCCTATGGTGGAAAGGAAAATATCTTCACATAAAAACTACACAGAAGCATTCTGAGAAACTACCTTTTGATGTGTGTATTTGTCTCAGACTGGAACCTTCCTTTTGATTGAGCAGTTCTGAAACACTCTTTTTGTAGAATCTGGAAGTGCATATTTGGAGTGCTTTGAGGCCTATGGTGGAAAAAGAAATATCTTCATTTAAAAACTACACAGAAGCATTCTGAGAAACTTCTTTGTGATGTGTGTATTCATACCACAGAGTCGAAACTATCGTTTGAGAGAGCATTTCGAAACTTTCTTTTTGTAGGATCTGCAAGTGGATATTTGGAGGGCTTTCAGGCCTATGGTGGAAAAGGAAATATCTTCACATAAACACTACTCAGAAGCATTCTGAGAAACTTCTTCACGATGGTTGCACTAAACTCTCAGAGTTGAACTTATCTTTTGATAGAGCAGTTTTGAAACTCTGTGTTACTAGAATCTGCATGTGGTTATTTGGAGTCCTTTGTGGCCGATGGTGGAAAAGGAAATATCTTCCCCTAAAAAGTACACAGAAGCATTCTGAGAAACTTTTTTGACATGTGTGCACTAATCTCACAGAGTTTAATCTATCATTTGATTGAGCAGTTTTAAAAAACTTTTTTTGTGGAATCTGCAATTGGATATTTGGAACGCTTTGAGGCCTATTGTGGAAAAGGCAATATCTTCACATAAAAACTACACAGAAACATTCCGAGAAACTTCTCTGTGATGTGTGCACTCATCTCACGGAGTTGAACCTTTCTTTGATTGACAAGTTTTGAAAGACTATGTTTCTATAATGTGCAAGTGGATATTTGGAGTGCTTTGAGGCATATGGTGGAAAAGGAAATATATTCACATAAAACTATACAGAAGCGTTCCCAGAAACTTATTTGTGATGTGTTTATTCAACTCGCAGAGTTGACCCTATCTTTTGATACAGCAGTTTTGAAACTCTCTTTTTGTAGAATCTGCAAGTGGATATTTGCAGCGCTTTGAGGCCTGCGGTGGAAAAGGAAATATCTTCACATAAAAACTACACAGAAGCATTCTCAGTAACTTCTTTGTAATGTGTGCATTCACCTCACAGACTTGAAACTTCCTCTTGATTGAGCAGCTTGGAAACACACTTTTAGTGAAATCTGCAAGTGGATATTTGGAGCACCTTGAGGCCTGTTGTGGAAAAGGAAATATCTTCACATAAAAACTACACAGAAGCATTCCAATAAACTTGTTTGTGATATGTACCTTCAACTGACAGATTTGAACCTTTCTTTTGATTAAATAGTTTTGAAAATCTCTTTTTGTAGAATCTGCAAGTGGATATTTGGAGTGCTTTGAGGCCTATGGTGGAAAAGGAAATATCTTTACATAAAAACTACACAGAAGCATTCTGAGAAACTACTTTGTGATGTGTGCATTCATATCACATAGTTGAACCTATCTTTTGATAGAGCACTTTTGAAACTCTCTTTTTGTAGAATCTGCAAGTGGATATTTGGAGCCCTTTGCAGCCTATGGTGGAAAAGGAAACATCTTCACATAAAAACTACACAGAAGCATTCTCAGAAACTACTTTGTGATGTGTGCGTTCAGCTCACAGACTTGAAACTTCCTCTTGATTGAGCAGTTTGGAAACACTCTTTAGTAAAATCTGCAAGTGGATATTCGGAGCACTTTGAGGCCTGTTGTGGAGAAGGAAATATCTTCACATAAAAACTACACAGACGCATTCCGAGAAACTTGTTTGTGATATGTGCATTCAACTGACAGAGTTGAACCTTTCTTTTGATTGACTAGTTTTGAAAATCTCTTTTTGTAGAATCTGCAAGTGGATATTTGGAGTGCTTTGAGGCCTATGGTGGAAAAGGAAATATCTTCATATGAAAACTACACAGAAGCATTCTGAGAAAATTCTTTGTGATGTGTGCATTCAAACCACAGACTTGAACTGATCTTTTGATAGAGCAGTTTTTAAAGTGTCTTTCTGTAGAATCTGCAAGTGGTTACTTGGAGACCTTTGTGGAAGATGGTGGAAAAGGAAATGTCTTCCCGTAAAAACTACACAGATGCATTCTGAGAAACTTCTTTGTGATGTGTGCATTCATCTCACAGAGTTCAACCTATCTTTTCGTAGAGCAGTTTTGAAACTCTCTTTTCCTAGAATCTGTAAGTTGATATTTGGAGCCCTTTGCGGCCTATTGTGGAAAAGGAAATAACTTCACATGAAAACTACACAGAAGCTGAGAAACTTCTTTGTGATGTGTGCATTAATTTCCCAGAGTCGAACCTTTCTTTTGATTGAGCAGTTTTGAAACACTCTTTTTGTAGAATCTGCAAGTGGACATTTGAAGCACTTTGAGGCCTATTGTTGAAAAGGAAACATCTTCATATAAAAACAACAAGGAAGCATTCTGAGAAACCATTTTGTGCTGTGTGCATTCACCTCACAGAGTTCAACTTTATTTGATACAGCAGTTTTGAAACACTCTTCTTGTAGAATCTGCAAGTGGAAATTGGGAAATATTTAGGCATATGGTGGAAAAGGAAACATCCGCACATAAAAACTACACAGACACATTCTGTGAAACTTCTTTGTGCTGTGTGCATTCAAACCACAGAGTTGAACCTATCTTTTGAATGAGCAGTTTTGAAACTCTCTTTTCATAGTATCTGCAAGTGGATATTTGGAGCCTTTTGTGGCCTACGGTGGGAAAGGAAATATCTTCATATAAAAACTACACAGAAGCATTCTGAGAAACTTCTCAGTGATGTGAGCATTCTTCTCACAGAGTTGAACTATCTTTTGATTGAGCAGTTTTGAAACACTGTTTTTTTTAGAATCTGCAAGTGAATATTTGGAGCCTTTTGGGTCTTATTGTGGAAAAGGAAATATCTTCACATAAAAACTACACAGAAGCATTCTGAGAAACTTCTTTGTCATGTGTGGATTCATCTCACAGAGTTAAATCTTTCTTTTGATTGAGCAGTTTGCAAACACTCTTTTTGTGGTATCTCCAGGAGGATATTTGGAGTGCTTTGAGGCCTATGTTGGAAAAGGAAGTATCTTCCCTTAAAAGCTAGCAGAAGCATTCTGAGAACTTCCTTCTGATGTGTGCATTCATCTCACCTAGTTGAACCTTTCTTTTGGTTGTGCACTTTTGAAACACTCTTTTTGTGGAATCTGCAAGTGGATATCTGGATCACTTTGACGTCTATTGTGGAAAAGGAAATATCTTCACATAAAAACTACACAGAAGAATTCCGACATAGTTCTTTGTGATGTGTGCATTCAACTCACATAGTTGAAACCATCTCTTGATCGAGTAGTTTTGAACCTCTCTTGTTGTAGAATCTGAAAGTGGATATTTGTGTCCCCTGGCGGTCTATGGTGGAAAAGAAATATCTTCACAAAAATACTACACAGAAGCATTCTGAGAAACTTCTTTGTGATGTGTCCATTCATCTCACAGAGTTGAACCTTTCTTTTGATTGAGCAGTTTTGAAATACTCCTTTTGTAGAATCTGCAAGTGGATATTTTGAGTGCTTTGAGAACTATTGTGGAAAAGGAATTATCTTCTCATAAAACCTACACTGAAGGATTCTGAGAAATTTCTTGTGATGTGTGCATTCATCTCACAGAGTTGAACATTTCCTATGATTGAGCAGTTTGGAAATATTCTTTTCATAGAATCTGGAAGTGGATATTTGGAGCCCTTTGAGGCCTATTGTGGAAAAGGAAATATCTTCACATAAAAACTACAGAGAAGCATTCTGAGAAACTTCTTTGTGATGTGTGCATTCATCAAACAGAATTGAACATTTCTTTTTTTGTGCAGTTTTGAAACAATCTTCTTGTAGTATCTGCAAGTGGATATTTGGAGCGTTTTAAGACCTAAGGTGGGAAAGGAAATATCTTCACATAAAAATTACACAGAGAGATTCTGAGAAACTTCTTTGTGATGTGTGCATTCATCTCATATATTTGAACCTTTCTTTTCATTGTGCAGTTTCCAAGCAATCTTTTTCTAGAATATGTAAGTGGATATTTGGAGCACTTTGTGGACTATGGAGGGAAAAGAAATGTCTTCACATAAAAACTACACAGAAGCATTGGGAGAAAATTCTTGTGATATTTGTGTTCAACCCACAAAGTTGAACATATTGTTTGATAGAGCAGTTGTGAAACTCTCTTTTTGTAGAATCTGCAAGTGGGTATTTGGAGCCCTTTGTGGCCCATGGTAGAAAAGGAACTATCTTCACAGAAAAACTACCCAGAAGCATTTTGAGAAACTCCTTTGTGATTTGTGCACTCATCTCACGGTGTTGAAACTTTATTTTTATTGAGCAATTTTGAACATTCCTTTTTATAGAATCTACAAGTGGATATTTGGAGTGGTTTGAGACCTATGGTAGAAAAAGAACTATCTTCACCGAAAAACCACACAGAAGCATTTTGAGAAGCTTCTTTTTGATGTATGCATTCAACTCACAGAGACGAACTGATCTTTTGATAGAGCAGTTTTGAAACTCACTTTTGTAGAATCTGCAGGTGGATATTTGGAGTACATTGCGGCCTATGGTGAAAAAGGAACTATCTTCGCATGAGAACCAGGCAGAAACATTCTGAGAAACTAGTTTGTGATGTGTGCATTCATCTCACAGAGTTGAAATCATTTTTTGATTTGAGTAGTTTGGAAACACTCTTTTTGTGGAATCTCTAAGGGCATATTTGAAGCGTTTTGCACGCTGTTGTGGAAAAGGAAATATCTTCACATAAAAACTACACAGAAGCATTCTGAGAAACTACTTTGTGATGTGGGCATTCATGTCACGGTTTTGAACCTTCCATTTGATTGAGCAGTTTTGAAATACTCGTTTGGTAGAATGTACAAGTGAATATTTGGAGCACTTTGAGGCCTATGATAGAAACGGAAATATGTTTACATAAAAACTACACAGAAGCATGCTGAGAAACCTCTTTGTGATGTGTGTATTCACCTCCGGGAGTTCAACCTATCATTTGACAGAGCGGTTTTGAAACTCTTTTTGTAGAATCTCCAAGTGGATATTTGGAGCCCTTTGCATTCTACTGTGAAAAGGAAATATCTTCACATCAAAACTACACAGACGCATTCTGAGAAACTTCTTTGTGATGTTTGCTTTCAACTCACAGAATTGAACCTTTTGTTTGAGTAGTTTTGAAACTCTCTTTTTGTAGAATCTAGAAGTGGATATTTAGAACGCTTGGAGGCCTATGGTGCAAAAACGAATAACTTCACACAAAAAATACACAGAAGCATTCTGAGAAACTTCTTTACGATGTCTGCATTCACCTCACAGATTTGAATGTCTCTTTTGATTGAGCAGTTTGGAAGCACTCTTTCGGTAGAATCTGCAAGTGGATATGGAGAGAGCTTTGAGGCCTGTTGTGGAAAACTAAATGTCTTCATATAAAAGCTACACAGAAGCATTCTGAGAAACTCCTTTGTTATGTGTGCATTCATCTCACAGAGTTGAACCTTTCTTTTGATTCGGCAGTTTTGAAACACGGTTTTTGTAGAATCTTCAAGTGGATATTTGGAGCACTTTTCTGCCTATTGTGTAAAAGGAAATATCTTTACGTAAGAACTACACAGAAGCATTCTGAGAAACTTCTTTGTGATGTTCTTAACTCACAGCGTTAAACTTACCTTTGGTAGAGCAGTTTTGAAACTCTCTTTTTGTGGAAAATGTAAGTGGGTATTTAGAGCCATTTGTGGCCTATGGTGGAAAGGAAAATATCTTCACATAAAAACTACACAGAAGCATTCTGAGAAACTACCTTTTGATGTGTGTATTTGTCTCAGACTGGAACCTTCCTTTTGATTGAGCAGTTCTGAAACACTCTTTTTGTAGAATCTGGAAGTGCATATTTGGAGTGCTTTGAGGCCTATGGTGGAAAAAGAAATATCTTCATTTAAAAACTACACAGAAGCATTCTGAGAAACTTCTTTGTGATGTGTGTATTCATACCACAGAGTCGAAACTATCGTTTGAGAGAGCATTTCGAAACTTTCTTTTTGTAGGATCTGCAAGTGGATATTTGGAGGGCTTTCAGGCCTATGGTGGAAAAGGAAATATCTTCACATAAACACTACTCAGAAGCATTCTGAGAAACTTCTTCACGATGGTTGCACTAAACTCTCAGAGTTGAACTTATCTTTTGATAGAGCAGTTTTGAAACTCTGTGTTACTAGAATCTGCATGTGGTTATTTGGAGTCCTTTGTGGCCGATGGTGGAAAAGGAAATATCTTCCCCTAAAAAGTACACAGAAGCATTCTGAGAAACTTTTTTGACATGTGTGCACTAATCTCACAGAGTTTAATCTATCATTTGATTGAGCAGTTTTAAAAAACTTTTTTTGTGGAATCTGCAATTGGATATTTGGAACGCTTTGAGGCCTATTGTGGAAAAGGCAATATCTTCACATAAAAACTACACAGAAACATTCCGAGAACTTCTCTGTGATGTGTGCACTCATCTCACGGAGTTGAACCTTTCTTTGATTGACAAGTTTTGAAAGACTATGTTTCTATAATGTGCAAGTGGATATTTGGAGTGCTTTGAGGCATATGGTGGAAAAGGAAATATATTCACATAAAACTATACAGAAGCGTTCCCAGAAACTTATTTGTGATGTGTTTATTCAACTCGCAGAGTTGACCCTATCTTTTGATACAGCAGTTTTGAAACTCTCTTTTTGTAGAATCTGCAAGTGGATATTTGCAGCGCTTTGAGGCCTGCGGTGGAAAAGGAAATATCTTCACATAAAAACTACACAGAAGCATTCTCAGTAACTTCTTTGTAATGTGTGCATTCACCTCACAGACTTGAAACTTCCTCTTGATTGAGCAGCTTGGAAACACACTTTTAGTGAAATCTGCAAGTGGATATTTGGAGCACCTTGAGGCCTGTTGTGGAAAAGGAAATATCTTCACATAAAAACTACACAGAAGCATTCCAATAAACTTGTTTGTGATATGTACCTTCAACTGACAGATTTGAACCTTTCTTTTGATTAAATAGTTTTGAAAATCTCTTTTTGTAGAATCTGCAAGTGGATATTTGGAGTGCTTTGAGGCCTATGGTGGAAAAGGAAATATCTTTACATAAAAACTACACAGAAGCATTCTGAGAAACTACTTTGTGATGTGTGCATTCATATCACATAGTTGAACCTATCTTTTGATAGAGCACTTTTGAAACTCTCTTTTTGTAGAATCTGCAAGTGGATATTTGGAGCCCTTTGCAGCCTATGGTGGAAAAGGAAACATCTTCACATAAAAACTACACAGAAGCATTCTCAGAAACTACTTTGTGATGTGTGCGTTCAGCTCACAGACTTGAAACTTCCTCTTGATTGAGCAGTTTGGAAACACTCTTTAGTAAAATCTGCAAGTGGATATTCGGAGCACTTTGAGGCCTGTTGTGGAGAAGGAAATATCTTCACATAAAAACTACACAGACGCATTCCGAGAAACTTGTTTGTGATATGTGCATTCAACTGACAGAGTTGAACCTTTCTTTTGATTGACTAGTTTTGAAAATCTCTTTTTGTAGAATCTGCAAGTGGATATTTGGAGTGCTTTGAGGCCTATGGTGGAAAAGGAAATATCTTCATATGAAAACTACACAGAAGCATTCTGAGAAAATTCTTTGTGATGTGTGCATTCAAACCACAGACTTGAACTGATCTTTTGATAGAGCAGTTTTTAAAGTGTCTTTCTGTAGAATCTGCAAGTGGTTACTTGGAGACCTTTGTGGAAGATGGTGGAAAAGGAGAATGTCTTCCCGTAAAAACTACACAGATGCATTCTGAGAAACTTCTTTGTGATGTGTGCATTCATCTCACAGAGTTCAACCTATCTTTTCGTAGAGCAGTTTTGAAACTCTCTTTTCCTAGAATCTGTAAGTTGATATTTGGAGCCCTTTGCGGCCTATTGTGGAAAAGGAAATAACTTCACATGAAAACTACACAGAAGCTGAGAAACTTCTTTGTGATGTGTGCATTAATTTCCCAGAGTCGAACCTTTCTTTTGATTGAGCAGTTTTGAAACACTCTTTTTGTAGAATCTGCAAGTGGACATTTGAAGCACTTTGAGGCCTATTGTTGAAAAGGAAACATCTTCATATAAAAACAACAAGGGAAAGCATTCTGAGAAACCATTTTGTGCTGTGTGCATTCACCTCACAGAGTTCAACTTTATTTGATACAGCAGTTTTGAAACACTCTTCTTGTAGAATCTGCAAGTGGAAATTGGGAAATATTTAGGCATATGGTGGAAAAGGAAACATCCGCACATAAAAACTACACAGACACATTCTGTGAAACTTCTTTGTGCTGTGTGCATTCAAACCACAGAGTTGAACCTATCTTTTGAATGAGCAGTTTTGAAACTCTCTTTTCATAGTATCTGCAAGTGGATATTTGGAGCCTTTTGTGGCCTACGGTGGGAAAGGAAATATCTTCATATAAAAACTACACAGAAGCATTCTGAGAAACTTCTCAGTGATGTGAGCATTCTTCTCACAGAGTTGAACCTTTCTTTTGATTGAGCAGTTTTGAAACACTGTTTTTTTTAGAATCTGCAAGTGAATATTTGGAGCCTTTTGGGTCTTATTGTGGAAAAGGAAATATCTTCACATAAAAACTACACAGAAGCATTCTGAGACACTTCTTTGTGGTATGTGCATTCATCTCACAGAGGTGAAACTTTCTTTTGATGGAGCAGTTTTGGAAATCTCTTTTTGTAGAATCTGCAAGTGGATATTTGGAGCACTTTGAGGCCCATTGTGGAAAAGGAAATATCTTTACATAAAAACTACACAGAAATCTGAGAAACATCTTTTTGTTGTGCGCATTCAACTCACAGAGTTGAACTATCTTTTGATTGTGCAGTTTTGAAACACTCTTTTTGTAGAATGTGAAAGTGGATATTTTGAGCGCTTTGAGGCCTATTGTGGAAAAAGAAATATCTTCAATTAAAAACTACACAGAAGCATTCTGAGAAACTTCTTTGTGATGTGTGGATTCATCTCACAGAGTTAAATCTTTCTTTTGATTGAGCAGTTTGCAAACACTCTTTTTGTGGTATCTCCAGGAGGATATTTGGAGTGCTTTGAGGCCTATGTTGGAAAAGGAAGTATCTTCCCTTAAAAGCTATGCAGAAGCATTCTGAGAAACTTCCTTCTGATGTGTGCATTCATCTCACCTAGTTGAACCTTTCTTTTGGTTGTGCACTTTTGAAACACTCTTTTTGTGGAATCTGCAAGTGGATATCTGGATCACTTTGACGTCTATTGTGGAAAAGGAAATATCTTCACATAAAAACTACACAGAAGAATTCCGACATAGTTCTTTGTGATGTGTGCATTCAACTCACATAGTTGAAACCATCTCTTGATCGAGTAGTTTTGAACCTCTCTTGTTGTAGAATCTGAAAGTGGATATTTGTGTCCCCTGGCGGTCTATGGTGGAAAAGAAATATCTTCACAAAAATACTACACAGAAGCATTCTGAGAAACTTCTTTGTGATGTGTCCATTCATCTCACAGAGTTGAACCTTTCTTTTGATTGAGCAGTTTTGAAATACTCCTTTTGTAGAATCTGCAAGTGGATATTTTGAGTGCTTTGAGAACTATTGTGGAAAAGGAATTATCTTCTCATAAAACCTACACTGAAGGATTCTGAGAAATTTCTTGTGATGTGTGCATTCATCTCACAGAGTTGAACATTTCCTATGATTGAGCAGTTTGGAAATATTCTTTTCATAGAATCTGGAAGTGGATATTTGGAGCCCTTTGAGGCCTATTGTGGAAAAGGAAATATCTTCACATAAAAACTACAGAGAAGCATTCTGAGAAACTTCTTTGTGATGTGTGCATTCATCAAACAGAATTGAACATTTCTTTTTTTGTGCAGTTTTGAAACAATCTTCTTGTAGTATCTGCAAGTGGATATTTGGAGCGTTTTAAGACCTAAGGTGGGAAAGGAAATATCTTCACATAAAAATTACACAGAGAGATTCTGAGAAACTTCTTTGTGATGTGTGCATTCATCTCATATATTTGAACCTTTCTTTTCATTGTGCAGTTTCCAAGCAATCTTTTTCTAGAATATGTAAGTGGATATTTGGAGCACTTTGTGGACTATGGAGGGAAAAGAAATGTCTTCACATAAAAACTACACAGAAGCATTGGGAGAAAATTCTTGTGATATTTGTGTTCAACCCACAAAGTTGAACATATTGTTTGATAGAGCAGTTGTGAAACTCTCTTTTTGTAGAATCTGCAAGTGGGTATTTGGAGCCCTTTGTGGCCCATGGTAGAAAAGGAACTATCTTCACAGAAAAACTACCCAGAAGCATTTTGAGAAACTCCTTTGTGATTTGTGCACTCATCTCACGGTGTTGAAACTTTATTTTTATTGAGCAATTTTGAACATTCCTTTTTATAGAATCTACAAGTGGATATTTGGAGTGGTTTGAGACCTATGGTAGAAAAAGAACTATCTTCACCGAAAAACCACACAGAAGCATTTTGAGAAGCTTCTTTTTGATGTATGCATTCAACTCACAGAGACGAACTGATCTTTTGATAGAGCAGTTTTGAAACTCACTTTTGTAGAATCTGCAGGTGGATATTTGGAGTACATTGCGGCCTATGGTGAAAAAGGAACTATCTTCGCATGAGAACCAGGCAGAAACATTCTGAGAAACTAGTTTGTGATGTGTGCATTCATCTCACAGAGTTGAAATCATTTTTTGATTTGAGTAGTTTGGAAACACTCTTTTTGTGGAATCTCTAAGGGCATATTTGAAGCGTTTTGCACGCTGTTGTGGAAAAGGAAATATCTTCACATAAAAACTACACAGAAGCATTCTGAGAAACTACTTTGTGATGTGGGCATTCATGTCACGGTTTTGAACCTTCCATTTGATTGAGCAGTTTTGAAATACTCGTTTGGTAGAATGTACAAGTGAATATTTGGAGCACTTTGAGGCCTATGATAGAAACGGAAATATGTTTACATAAAAACTACACAGAAGCATGCTGAGAAACCTCTTTGTGATGTGTGTATTCACCTCCGGGAGTTCAACCTATCATTTGACAGAGCGGTTTTGAAACTCTTTTTGTAGAATCTCCAAGTGGATATTTGGAGCCCTTTGCATTCTACTGTGAAAAGGAAATATCTTCACATCAAAACTACACAGACGCATTCTGAGAAACTTCTTTGTGATGTTTGCTTTCAACTCACAGAATTGAACCTTTTGTTTGAGTAGTTTTGAAACTCTCTTTTTGTAGAATCTAGAAGTGGATATTTAGAACGCTTGGAGGCCTATGGTGCAAAAACGAATAACTTCACACAAAAAATACACAGAAGCATTCTGAGAAACTTCTTTACGATGTCTGCATTCACCTCACAGATTTGAATGTCTCTTTTGATTGAGCAGTTTGGAAGCACTCTTTCGGTAGAATCTGCAAGTGGATATGGAGAGAGCTTTGAGGCCTGTTGTGGAAAACTAAATGTCTTCATATAAAAGCTACACAGAAGCATTCTGAGAAACTCCTTTGTTATGTGTGCATTCATCTCACAGAGTTGAACCTTTCTTTTGATTCGGCAGTTTTGAAACACGGTTTCTGTAGAATCTTCAAGTGGATATTTGGAGCACTTTTCTGCCTATTGTGTAAAAGGAATATCTTTACGTAAGAACTACACAGAAGCATTCTGAGAAACTTCTTTGTGATGTTCTTAACTCACAGCGTTAAACTTACCTTTGGTAGAGCAGTTTTGAAACTCTCTTTTTGTGGAAAATGTAAGTGGGTATTTAGAGCCATTTGTGGCCTATGGTGGAAAGGAAAATATCTTCACATAAAAACTACACAGAAGCATTCTGAGAAACTACCTTTTGATGTGTGTATTTGTCTCAGACTGGAACCTTCCTTTTGATTGAGCAGTTCTGAAACACTCTTTTTGTAGAATCTGGAAGTGCATATTTGGAGTGCTTTGAGGCCTATGGTGGAAAAAAGAAATATCTTCATTTAAAAACTACACAGAAGCATTCTGAGAAA
The DNA here is from genome assembly GCF_000001405.40 of Homo sapiens. Classification (NCBI taxonomy): domain Eukaryota; kingdom Metazoa; phylum Chordata; class Mammalia; order Primates; family Hominidae; genus Homo; species Homo sapiens. Next base: position 10,502,003 of record NC_000024.10, read on the forward strand.
CTTCTTTGTGATGTGTGTATTCATACCACAGAGTCGAAACTATCGTTTGAGAGAGCATTTCGAAACTTTCTTTTTGTAGGATCTGCAAGTGGATATTTGGAGGGCTTTCAGGCCTATGGTGGAAAAGGAAATATCTTCACATAAACACTACTCAGAAGCATTCTGAGAAACTTCTTCACGATGGTTGCACTAAACTCTCAGAGTTGAACTTATCTTTTGATAGAGCAGTTTTGAAACTCTGTGTTACTAGAATCTGCATGTGGTTATTTGGAGTCCTTTGTGGCCGATGGTGGAAAAGGAAATATCTTCCCCTAAAAAGTACACAGAAGCATTCTGAGAAACTTTTTTGACATGTGTGCACTAATCTCACAGAGTTTAATCTATCATTTGATTGAGCAGTTTTAAAAAACTTTTTTTGTGGAATCTGCAATTGGATATTTGGAACGCTTTGAGGCCTATTGTGGAAAAGGCAATATCTTCACATAAAAACTACACAGAAACATTCCGAGTAAACTTCTCTGTGATGTGTGCACTCATCTCACGGAGTTGAACCTTTCTTTGATTGACAAGTTTTGAAAGACTATGTTTCTATAATGTGCAAGTGGATATTTGGAGTGCTTTGAGGCATATGGTGGAAAAGGAAATATATTCACATAAAACTATACAGAAGCGTTCCCAGAAACTTATTTGTGATGTGCTTATTCAACTCGCAGAGTTGACCCTATCTTTTGATACAGCAGTTTTGAAACTCTCTTTTTGTAGAATCTGCAAGTGGATATTTGCAGCGCTTTGAGGCCTGCGGTGGAAAAGGAAATATCTTCACATAAAAACTACACAGAAGCATTCTCAGTAACTTCTTTGTAATGTGTGCATTCACCTCACAGACTTGAAACTTCCTCTTGATTGAGCAGCTTGGAAACACACTTTTAGTGAAATCTGCAAGTGGATATTTGGAGCACCTTGAGGCCTGTTGTGGAAAAGGAAATATCTTCACATAAAAACTACACAGAAGCATTCCAATAAACTTGTTTGTGATATGTACCTTCAACTGACAGATTTGAACCTTTCTTTTGATTAAATAGTTTTGAAAATCTCTTTTTGTAGAATCTGCAAGTGGATATTTGGAGTGCTTTGAGGCCTATGGTGGAAAAGGAAATATCTTTACATAAAAACTACACAGAAGCATTCTGAGAAACTACTTTGTGATGTGTGCATTCATATCACATAGTTGAACCTATCTTTTGATAGAGCACTTTTGAAACTCTCTTTTTGTAGAATCTGCAAGTGGATATTTGGAGCCCTTTGCAGCCTATGGTGGAAAAGGAAACATCTTCACATAAAAACTACACAGAAGCCTTCTCAGAAACTACTTTGTGATGTGTGCGTTCAGCTCACAGACTTGAAACTTCCTCTTGATTGAGCAGTTTGGAAACACTCTTTAGTAAAATCTGCAAGTGGATATTCGGAGCACTTTGAGGCCTGTTGTGGAGAAGGAAATATCTTCACATAAAAACTACACAGACGCATTCCGAGAAACTTGTTTGTGATATGTGCATTCAACTGACAGAGTTGAACCTTTCTTTTGATTGACTAGTTTTGAAAATCTCTTTTTGTAGAATCTGCAAGTGGATATTTGGAGTGCTTTGAGGCCTATGGTGGAAAAGGAAATATCTTCATATGAAAACTACACAGAAGCATTCTGAGAAAATTCTTTGTGATGTGTGCATTCAAACCACAGTACTTGAACTGATCTTTTGATAGAGCAGTTTTTAAAGTGTCTTTCTGTAGAATCTGCAAGTGGTTACTTGGAGACCTTTGTGGAAGATGGTGGAAAAGGAAATGTCTTCCCGTAAAAACTACACAGATGCATTCTGAGAAACTTCTTTGTGATGTGTGCATTCATCTCACAGAGTTCAACCTATCTTTTCGTAGAGCAGTTTTGAAACTCTCTTTTCCTAGAATCTGTAAGTTGATATTTGGAGCCCTTTGCGGCCTATTGTGGAAAAGGAAATAACTTCACATGAAAACTACACAGAAGCTGAGAAACTTCTTTGTGATGTGTGCATTAATTTCCCAGAGTCGAACCTTTCTTTTGATTGAGCAGTTTTGAAACACTCTTTTTGTAGAATCTGCAAGTGGACATTTGAAGCACTTTGAGGCCTATTGTTGAAAAGGAAACATCTTCATATAAAAACAACAAGGAAGCATTCTGAGAAACCATTTTGTGCTGTGTGCATTCACCTCACAGAGTTCAACTTTATTTGATACAGCAGTTTTGAAACACTCTTCTTGTAGAATCTGCAAGTGGAAATTGGGAAATATTTAGGCATATGGTGGAAAAGGAAACATCCGCACATAAAAACTACACAGACACATTCTGTGAAACTTCTTTGTGCTGTGTGCATTCAAACCACAGAGTTGAACCTATCTTTTGAATGAGCAGTTTTGAAACTCTCTTTTCATAGTATCTGCAAGTGGATATTTGGAGCCTTTTGTGGCCTACGGTGGGAAAGGAAATATCTTCATATAAAAACTACACAGAAGCATTCTGAGAAACTTCTCAGTGATGTGAGCATTCTTCTCACAGAGTTGAACTATCTTTTGATTGAGCAGTTTTGAAACACTGTTTTTTTTAGAATCTGCAAGTGAATATTTGGAGCCTTTTGGGTCTTATTGTGGAAAAGGAAATATCTTCACATAAAAACTACACAGAAGCATTCTGAGAAACTTCTTTGTCATGTGTGGATTCATCTCACAGAGTTAAATCTTTCTTTTGATTGAGCAGTTTGCAAACACTCTTTTTGTGGTATCTCCAGGAGGATATTTGGAGTGCTTTGAGGCCTATGTTGGAAAAGGAAGTATCTTCCCTTAAAAGCTAGCAGAAGCATTCTGAGAACTTCCTTCTGATGTGTGCATTCATCTCACCTAGTTGAACCTTTCTTTTGGTTGTGCACTTTTGAAACACTCTTTTTGTGGAATCTGCAAGTGGATATCTGGATCACTTTGACGTCTATTGTGGAAAAGGAAATATCTTCACATAAAAACTACACAGAAGAATTCCGACATAGTTCTTTGTGATGTGTGCATTCAACTCACATAGTTGAAACCATCTCTTGATCGAGTAGTTTTGAACCTCTCTTGTTGTAGAATCTGAAAGTGGATATTTGTGTCCCCTGGCGGTCTATGGTGGAAAAGAAATATCTTCACAAAAATACTACACAGAAGCATTCTGAGAAACTTCTTTGTGATGTGTCCATTCATCTCACAGAGTTGAACCTTTCTTTTGATTGAGCAGTTTTGAAATACTCCTTTTGTAGAATCTGCAAGTGGATATTTTGAGTGCTTTGAGAACTATTGTGGAAAAGGAATTATCTTCTCATAAAACCTACACTGAAGGATTCTGAGAAATTTCTTGTGATGTGTGCATTCATCTCACAGAGTTGAACATTTCCTATGATTGAGCAGTTTGGAAATATTCTTTTCATAGAATCTGGAAGTGGATATTTGGAGCCCTTTGAGGCCTATTGTGGAAAAGGAAATATCTTCACATAAAAACTACAGAGAAGCATTCTGAGAAACTTCTTTGTGATGTGTGCATTCATCAAACAGAATTGAACATTTCTTTTTTTGTGCAGTTTTGAAACAATCTTCTTGTAGTATCTGCAAGTGGATATTTGGAGCGTTTTAAGACCTAAGGTGGGAAAGGAAATATCTTCACATAAAAATTACACAGAGAGATTCTGAGAAACTTCTTTGTGATGTGTGCATTCATCTCATATATTTGAACCTTTCTTTTCATTGTGCAGTTTCCAAGCAATCTTTTTCTAGAATATGTAAGTGGATATTTGGAGCACTTTGTGGACTATGGAGGGAAAAGAAATGTCTTCACATAAAAACTACACAGAAGCATTGGGAGAAAATTCTTGTGATATTTGTGTTCAACCCACAAAGTTGAACATATTGTTTGATAGAGCAGTTGTGAAACTCTCTTTTTGTAGAATCTGCAAGTGGGTATTTGGAGCCCTTTGTGGCCCATGGTAGAAAAGGAACTATCTTCACAGAAAAACTACCCAGAAGCATTTTGAGAAACTCCTTTGTGATTTGTGCACTCATCTCACGGTGTTGAAACTTTATTTTTATTGAGCAATTTTGAACATTCCTTTTTATAGAATCTACAAGTGGATATTTGGAGTGGTTTGAGACCTATGGTAGAAAAAGAACTATCTTCACCGAAAAACCACACAGAAGCATTTTGAGAAGCTTCTTTTTGATGTATGCATTCAACTCACAGAGACGAACTGATCTTTTGATAGAGCAGTTTTGAAACTCACTTTTGTAGAATCTGCAGGTGGATATTTGGAGTACATTGCGGCCTATGGTGAAAAAGGAACTATTCTTCGCATGAGAACCAGGCAGAAACATTCTGAGAAACTAGTTTGTGATGTGTGCATTCATCTCACAGAGTTGAAATCATTTTTTGATTTGAGTAGTTTGGAAACACTCTTTTTGTGGAATCTCTAAGGGCATATTTGAAGCGTTTTGCACGCTGTTGTGGAAAAGGAAATATCTTCACATAAAAACTACACAGAAGCATTCTGAGTAAACTACTTTGTGATGTGGGCATTCATGTCACGGTTTTGAACCTTCCATTTGATTGAGCAGTTTTGAAATACTCGTTTGGTAGAATGTACAAGTGAATATTTGGAGCACTTTGAGGCCTATGATAGAAACGGAAATATGTTTACATAAAAACTACACAGAAGCATGCTGAGAAACCTCTTTGTGATGTGTGTATTCACCTCCGGGAGTTCAACCTATCATTTGACAGAGCGGTTTTGAAACTCTTTTTGTAGAATCTCCAAGTGGATATTTGGAGCCCTTTGCATTCTACTGTGAAAAGGAAATATCTTCACATCAAAACTACACAGACGCATTCTGAGAAACTTCTTTGTGATGTTTGCTTTCAACTCACAGAATTGAACCTTTTGTTTGAGTAGTTTTGAAACTCTCTTTTTGTAGAATCTAGAAGTGGATATTTAGAACGCTTGGAGGCCTATGGTGCAAAAACGAATAACTTCACACAAAAAATACACAGAAGCATTCTGAGAAACTTCTTTACGATGTCTGCATTCACCTCACAGATTTGAATGTCTCTTTTGATTGAGCAGTTTGGAAGCACTCTTTCGGTAGAATCTGCAAGTGGATATGGAGAGAGCTTTGAGGCCTGTTGTGGAAAACTAAATGTCTTCATATAAAAGCTACACAGAAGCATTCTGAGAAACTCCTTTGTTATGTGTGTATTCATCTCACAGAGTTGAACCTTTCTTTTGATTCGGCAGTTTTGAAACACGGTTTTTGTAGAATCTTCAAGTGGATATTTGGAGCACTTTTCTGCCTATTGTGTAAAAGGAAATATCTTTACGTAAGAACTACACAGAAGCATTCTGAGAAACTTCTTTGTGATGTTCTTAACTCACAGCGTTAAACTTACCTTTGGTAGAGCAGTTTTGAAACTCTCTTTTTGTGGAAAATGTAAGTGGGTATTTAGAGCCATTTGTGGCCTATGGTGGAAAGGAAAATATCTTCACATAAAAACTACACAGAAGCATTCTGAGAAACTACCTTTTGATGTGTGTATTTGTCTCAGACTGGAACCTTCCTTTTGATTGAGCAGTTCTGAAACACTCTTTTTGTAGAATCTGGAAGTGCATATTTGGAGTGCTTTGAGGCCTATGGTGGAAAAAGAAATATCTTCATTTAAAAACTACACAGAAGCATTCTGAGAAACTTCTTTGTGATGTGTGTATTCATACCACAGAGTCGAAACTATCGTTTGAGAGAGCATTTCGAAACTTTCTTTTTGTAGGATCTGCAAGTGGATATTTGGAGGGCTTTCAGGCCTATGGTGGAAAAGGAAATATCTTCACATAAACACTACTCAGAAGCATTCTGAGAAACTTCTTCACGATGGTTGCACTAAACTCTCAGAGTTGAACTTATCTTTTGATAGAGCAGTTTTGAAACTCTGTGTTACTAGAATCTGCATGTGGTTATTTGGAGTCCTTTGTGGCCGATGGTGGAAAAGGAAATATCTTCCCCTAAAAAGTACACAGAAGCATTCTGAGAAACTTTTTTGACATGTGTGCACTAATCTCACAGAGTTTAATCTATCATTTGATTGAGCAGTTTTAAAAAACTTTTTTTGTGGAATCTGCAATTGGATATTTGGAACGCTTTGAGGCCTATTGTGGAAAAGGCAATATCTTCACATAAAAACTACACAGAAACATTCCGAGAAACTTCTCTGTGATGTGTGCACTCATCTCACGGAGTTGAACCTTTCTTTGATTGACAAGTTTTGAAAGACTATGTTTCTATAATGTGCAAGTGGATATTTGGAGTGCTTTGAGGCATATGGTGGAAAAGGAAATATATTCACATAAAACTGTACAGAAGCGTTCCCAGAAACTTATTTGTGATGTGTTTATTCAACTCGCAGAGTTGACCCTATCTTTTGATACAGCAGTTTTGAAACTCTCTTTTTGTAGAATCTGCAAGTGGATATTTGCAGCGCTTTGAGGCCTGCGGTGGAAAAGGAAATATCTTCACATAAAAACTACACAGAAGCATTCTCAGTAACTTCTTTGTAATGTGTGCATTCACCTCACAGACTTGAAACTTCCTCTTGATTGAGCAGCTTGGAAACACACTTTTAGTGAAATCTGCAAGTGGATATTTGGAGCACCTTGAGGCCTGTTGTGGAAAAGGAAATATCTTCACATAAAAACTACACAGAAGCATTCCAATAAACTTGTTTGTGATATGTACCTTCAACTGACAGATTTGAACCTTTCTTTTGATTAAATAGTTTTGAAAATCTCTTTTTGTAGAATCTGCAAGTGGATATTTGGAGTGCTTTGAGGCCTATGGTGGAAAAGGAAATATCTTTACATAAAAACTACACAGAAGCATTCTGAGAAACTACTTTGTGATGTGTGCATTCATATCACATAGTTGAACCTATCTTTTGATAGAGCACTTTTGAAACTCTCTTTTTGTAGAATCTGCAAGTGGATATTTGGAGCCCTTTGCAGCCTATGGTGGAAAAGGAAACATCTTCACATAAAAACTACACAGAAGCATTCTCAGAAACTACTTTGTGATGTGTGCGTTCAGCTCACAGACTTGAAACTTCCTCTTGATTGAGCAGTTTGGAAACACTCTTTAGTAAAATCTGCAAGTGGATATTCGGAGCACTTTGAGGCCTGTTGTGGAGAAGGAAATATCTTCACATAAAAACTACACAGACGCATTCCGAGAAACTTGTTTGTGATATGTGCATTCAACTGACAGAGTTGAACCTTTCTTTTGATTGACTAGTTTTGAAAATCTCTTTTTGTAGAATCTGCAAGTGGATATTTGGAGTGCTTTGAGGCCTATGGTGGAAAAGGAAATATCTTCATATGAAAACTACACAGAAGCATTCTGAGAAAATTCTTTGTGATGTGTGCATTCAAACCACAGACTTGAACTGATCTTTTGATAGAGCAGTTTTTAAAGTGTCTTTCTGTAGAATCTGCAAGTGGTTACTTGGAGACCTTTGTGGAAGATGGTGGAAAAGGAAATGTCTTCCCGTAAAAACTACACAGATGCATTCTGAGAAACTTCTTTGTGATGTGTGCATTCATCTCACAGAGTTCAACCTATCTTTTCGTAGAGCAGTTTTGAAACTCTCTTTTCCTAGAATCTGTAAGTTGATATTTGGAGCCCTTTGCGGCCTATTGTGGAAAAGGAAATAACTTCACATGAAAACTACACAGAAGCTGAGAAACTTCTTTGTGATGTGTGCATTAATTTCCCAGAGTCGAACCTTTCTTTTGATTGAGCAGTTTTGAAACACTCTTTTTGTAGAATCTGCAAGTGGACATTTGAAGCACTTTGAGGCCTATTGTTGAAAAGGAAACATCTTCATATAAAAACAACAAGGGAAGCATTCTGAGAAACCATTTTGTGCTGTGTGCATTCACCTCACAGAGTTCAACTTTATTTGATACAGCAGTTTTGAAACACTCTTCTTGTAGAATCTGCAAGTGGAAATTGGGAAATATTTAGGCATATGGTGGAAAAGGAAACATCCGCACATAAAAACTACACAGACACATTCTGTGAAACTTCTTTGTGCTGTGTGCATTCAAACCACAGAGTTGAACCTATCTTTTGAATGAGCAGTTTTGAAACTCTCTTTTCATAGTATCTGCAAGTGGATATTTGGAGCCTTTTGTGGCCTACGGTGGGAAAGGAAATATCTTCATATAAAAACTACACAGAAGCATTCTGAGAAACTTCTCAGTGATGTGAGCATTCTTCTCACAGAGTTGAACTATCTTTTGATTGAGCAGTTTTGAAACACTGTTTTTTTTAGAATCTGCAAGTGAATATTTGGAGCCTTTTGGGTCTTATTGTGGAAAAGGAAATATCTTCACATAAAAACTACACAGAAGCATTCTGAGAAACTTCTTTGTCATGTGTGGATTCATCTCACAGAGTTAAATCTTTCTTTTGATTGAGCAGTTTGCAAACACTCTTTTTGTGGTATCTCCAGGAGGATATTTGGAGTGCTTTGAGGCCTATGTTGGAAAAGGAAGTATCTTCCCTTAAAAGCTATGCAGAAGCATTCTGAGAAACTTCCTTCTGATGTGTGCATTCATCTCACCTAGTTGAACCTTTCTTTTGGTTGTGCACTTTTGAAACACTCTTTTTGTGGAATCTGCAAGTGGATATCTGGATCACTTTGACGTCTATTGTGGAAAAGGAAATATCTTCACATAAAAACTACACAGAAGAATTCCGACATAGTTCTTTGTGATGTGTGCATTCAACTCACATAGTTGAAACCATCTCTTGATCGAGTAGTTTTGAACCTCTCTTGTTGTAGAATCTGAAAGTGGATATTTGTGTCCCCTGGCGGTCTATGGTGGAAAAGAAATATCTTCACAAAAATACTACACAGAAGCATTCTGAGAAACTTCTTTGTGATGTGTCCATTCATCCCACAGAGTTGAACCTTTCTTTTGATTGAGCAGTTTTGAAATACTCCTTTTGTAGAATCTGCAAGTGGATATTTTGAGTGCTTTGAGAACTATTGTGGAAAAGGAATTATCTTCTCATAAAACCTACACTGAAGGATTCTGAGAAATTTCTTGTGATGTGTGCATTCATCTCACAGAGTTGAACATTTCCTATGATTGAGCAGTTTGGAAATATTCTTTTCATAGAATCTGGAAGTGGATATTTGGAGCCCTTTGAGGCCTATTGTGGAAAAGGAAATATCTTCACATAAAAACTACAGAGAAGCATTCTGAGAAACTTCTTTGTGATGTGTGCATTCATCAAACAGAATTGAACATTTCTTTTTTTGTGCAGTTTTGAAACAATCTTCTTGTAGTATCTGCAAGTGGATATTTGGAGCGTTTTAAGACCTAAGGTGGGAAAGGAAATATCTTCACATAAAAATTACACAGAGAGATTCTGAGAAACTTCTTTGTGATGTGTGCATTCATCTCATATATTTGAACCTTTCTTTTCATTGTGCAGTTTCCAAGCAATCTTTTTCTAGAATATGTAAGTGGATATTTGGAGCACTTTGTGGACTATGGAGGGAAAAGAAATGTCTTCACATAAAAACTACACAGAAGCATTGGGAGAAAATTCTTGTGATATTTGTGTTCAACCCACAAAGTTGAACATATTGTTTGATAGAGCAGTTGTGAAACTCTCTTTTTGTAGAATCTGCAAGTGGGTATTTGGAGCCCTTTGTGGCCCATGGTAGAAAAGGAACTATCTTCACAGAAAAACTACCCAGAAGCATTTTGAGAAACTCCTTTGTGATTTGTGCACTCATCTCACGGTGTTGAAACTTTATTTTTATTGAGCAATTTTGAACATTCCTTTTTATAGAATCTACAAGTGGATATTTGGAGTGGTTTGAGACCTATGGTAGAAAAAGAACTATCTTCACCGAAAAACCACACAGAAGCATTTTGAGAAGCTTCTTTTTGATGTATGCATTCAACTCACAGAGACGAACTGATCTTTTGATAGAGCAGTTTTGAAACTCACTTTTGTAGAATCTGCAGGTGGATATTTGGAGTACATTGCGGCCTATGGTGAAAAAGGAACTATCTTCGCATGAGAACCAGGCAGAAACATTCTGAGAAACTAGTTTGTGATGTGTGCATTCATCTCACAGAGTTGAAATCATTTTTTGATTTGAGTAGTTTGGAAACACTCTTTTTGTGGAATCTCTAAGGGCATATTTGAAGCGTTTTGCACGCTGTTGTGGAAAAGGAAATATCTTCACATAAAAACTACACAGAAGCATTCTGAGAAACTTCTTTGTGATGTGTGTATTCATACCACAGTAGTCGAAACTATCGTTTGAGAGAGCATTTCGAAACTTTCTTTTTGTAGGATCTGCAAGTGGATATTTGGAGGGCTTTCAGGCCTATGGTGGAAAAGGAAATATCTTCACATAAACACTACTCAGAAGCATTCTGAGAAACTTCTTCACGATGGTTGCACTAAACTCTCAGAGTTGAACTTATCTTTTGATAGAGCAGTTTTGAAACTCTGTGTTACTAGAATCTGCATGTGGTTATTTGGAGTCCTTTGTGGCCGATGGTGGAAAAGGAAATATCTTCCCCTAAAAAGTACACAGAAGCATTCTGAGAAACTTTTTTGACATGTGTGCACTAATCTCACAGAGTTTAATCTATCATTTGATTGAGCAGTTTTAAAAAACTTTTTTTGTGGAATCTGCAATTGGATATTTGGAACGCTTTGAGGCCTATTGTGGAAAAGGCAATATCTTCACATAAAAACTACACAGAAACATTCCGAGAAACTTCTCTGTGATGTGTGCACTCATCTCACGGAGTTGAACCTTTCTTTGATTGACAAGTTTTGAAAGACTATGTTTCTATAATGTGCAAGTGGATATTTGGAGTGCTTTGAGGCATATGGGGAAAAGGAAATATATTCACATAAAACTATACAGAAGCGTTCCCAGAAACTTATTTGTGATGTGTTTATTCAACTCGCAGAGTTGACCCTATCTTTTGATACAGCAGTTTTGAAACTCTCTTTTTGTAGAATCTGCAAGTGGATATTTGCAGCGCTTTGAGGCCTGCGGTGGAAAAGGAAATATCTTCACATAAAAACTACACAGAAGCATTCTCAGTAACTTCTTTGTAATGTGTGCATTCACCTCACAGACTTGAAACTTCCTACTTGATTGAGCAGCTTGGAAACACACTTTTAGTGAAATCTGCAAGTGGATATTTGGAGCACCTTGAGGCCTGTTGTGGAAAAGGAAATATCTTCACATAAAAACTACACAGAAGCATTCCAATAAACTTGTTTGTGATATGTACCTTCAACTGACAGATTTGAACCTTTCTTTTGATTAAATAGTTTTGAAAATCTCTTTTTGTAGAATCTGCAAGTGGATATTTGGAGTGCTTTGAGGCCTATGGTGGAAAAGGAAATATCTTTACATAAAAACTACACAGAAAGCATTCTGAGAAACTACTTTGTGATGTGTGCATTCATATCACATAGTTGAACCTATCTTTTGATAGAGCACTTTTGAAACTCTCTTTTTGTAGAATCTGCAAGTGGATATTTGGAGCCCTTTGCAGCCTATGGTGGAAAAGGAAACATCTTCACATAAAAACTACACAGAAGCATTCTCAGAAACTACTTTGTGATGTGTGCGTTCAGCTCACAGACTTGAAACTTCCTCTTGATTGAGCAGTTTGGAAACACTCTTTAGTAAAATCTGCAAGTGGATATTCGGAGCACTTTGAGGCCTGTTGTGGAGAAGGAAATATCTTCACATAAAAACTACACAGACGCATTCCGAGAAACTTGTTTGTGATATGTGCATTCAACTGACAGAGTTGAACCTTTCTTTTGATTGACTAGTTTTGAAAATCTCTTTTTGTAGAATCTGCAAGTGGATATTTGGAGTGCTTTGAGGCCTATGGTGGAAAAGGAAATATCTTCATATGAAAACTACACAGAAGCATTCTGAGAAAATTCTTTGTGATGTGTGCATTCAAACCACAGACTTGAACTGATCTTTTGATAGAGCAGTTTTTAAAGTGTCTTTCTGTAGAATCTGCAAGTGGTTACTTGGAGACCTTTGTGGAAGATGGTGGAAAAGGAAATGTCTTCCCGTAAAAACTACACAGATGCATTCTGAGAAACTTCTTTGTGATGTGTGCATTCATCTCACAGAGTTCAACCTATCTTTTCGTAGAGCAGTTTTGAAACTCTCTTTTCCTAGAATCTGTAAGTTGATATTTGGAGCCCTTTGCGGCCTATTGTGGAAAAGGAAATAACTTCACATGAAAACTACACAGAAGCTGAGAAACTTCTTTGTGATGTGTGCATTAATTTCCCAGAGTCGAACCTTTCTTTTGATTGAGCAGTTTTGAAACACTCTTTTTGTAGAATCTGCAAGTGGACATTTGAAGCACTTTGAGGCCTATTGTTGAAAAGGAAACATCTTCATATAAAAACAACAAGGAAGCATTCTGAGAAACCATTTTGTGCTGTGTGCATTCACCTCACAGAGTTCAACTTTATTTGATACAGCAGTTTTGAAACACTCTTCTTGTGGAATCTGCAAGTGGAAATTGGGAAATATTTAGGCATATGGTGGAAAAGGAAACATCCGCACATAAAAACTACACAGACACATTCTGTGAAACTTCTTTGTGCTGTGTGCATTCAAACCACAGAGTTGAACCTATCTTTTGAATGAGCAGTTTTGAAACTCTCTTTTCATAGTATCTGCAAGTGGATATTTGGAGCCTTTTGTGGCCTACGGTGGGAAAGGAAATATCTTCATATAAAAACTACACAGAAGCATTCTGAGAAACTTCTCAGTGATGTGAGCATTCTTCTCACAGAGTTGAACTATCTTTTGATTGAGCAGTTTTGAAACACTGTTTTTTTTAGAATCTGCAAGTGAATATTTGGAGCCTTTTGGGTCTTATTGTGGAAAAGGAAATATCTTCACATAAAAACTACACAGAAGCATTCTGAGAAACTTCTTTGTCATGTGTGGATTCATCTCACAGAGTTAAATCTTTCTTTTGATTGAGCAGTTTGCAAACACTCTTTTTGTGGTATCTCCAGGAGGATATTTGGAGTGCTTTGAGGCCTATGTTGGAAAAGGAAGTATCTTCCCTTAAAAGCTATGCAGAAGCATTCTGAGAAACTTCCTTCTGATGTGTGCATTCATCTCACCTAGTTGAACCTTTCTTTTGGTTGTGCACTTTTGAAACACTCTTTTTGTGGAATCTGCAAGTGGATATCTGGATCACTTTGACGTCTATTGTGGAAAAGGAAATATCTTCACATAAAAACTACACAGAAGAATTCCGACATAGTTCTTTGTGATGTGTGCATTCAACTCACATAGTTGAAACCATCTCTTGATCGAGTAGTTTTGAACCTCTCTTGTTGTAGAATCTGAAAGTGGATATTTGTGTCCCCTGGCGGTCTATGGTGGAAAAGAAATATCTTCACAAAAATACTACACAGAAGCATTCTGAGAAACTTCTTTGTGATGTGTCCATTCATCTCACAGAGTTGAACCTTTCTTTTGATTGAGCAGTTTTGAAATACTCCTTTTGTAGAATCTGCAAGTGGATATTTTGAGTGCTTTGAGAACTATTGTGGAAAAGGAATTATCTTCTCATAAAACCTACACTGAAGGATTCTGAGAAATTTCTTGTGATGTGTGCATTCATCTCACAGAGTTGAACATTTCCTATGATTGAGCAGTTTGGAAATATTCTTTTCATAGAATCTGGAAGTGGATATTTGGAGCCCTTTGAGGCCTATTGTGGAAAAGGAAATATCTTCACATAAAAACTACAGAGAAGCATTCTGAGAAAACTTCTTTGTGATGTGTGCATTCATCAAACAGAATTGAACATTTCTTTTTTTGTGCAGTTTTGAAACAATCTTCTTGTAGTATCTGCAAGTGGATATTTGGAGCGTTTTAAGACCTAAGGTGGGAAAGGAAATATCTTCACATAAAAATTACACAGAGAGATTCTGAGAAACTTCTTTGTGATGTGTGCATTCATCTCATATATTTGAACCTTTCTTTTCATTGTGCAGTTTCCAAGCAATCTTTTTCTAGAATATGTAAGTGGATATTTGGAGCACTTTGTGGACTATGGAGGGAAAAGAAATGTCTTCACATAAAAACTACACAGAAGCATTGGGAGAAAATTCTTGTGATATTTGTGTTCAACCCACAAAGTTGAACATATTGTTTGATAGAGCAGTTGTGAAACTCTCTTTTTGTAGAATCTGCAAGTGGGTATTTGGAGCCCTTTGTGGCCCATGGTAGAAAAGGAACTATCTTCACAGAAAAACTACCCAGAAGCATTTTGAGAAACTCCTTTGTGATTTGTGCACTCATCTCACGGTGTTGAAACTTTATTTTTATTGAGCAATTTTGAACATTCCTTTTTATAGAATCTACAAGTGGATATTTGGAGTGGTTTGAGACCTATGGTAGAAAAAGAACTATCTTCACCGAAAAACCACACAGAAGCATTTTGAGAAGCTTCTTTTTGATGTATGCATTCAACTCACAGAGACGAACTGATCTTTTGATAGAGCAGTTTTGAAACTCACTTTTGTAGAATCTGCAGGTGGATATTTGGAGTACATTGCGGCCTATGGTGAAAAAGGAACTATTCTTCGCATGAGAACCAGGCAGAAACATTCTGAGAAACTAGTTTGTGATGTGTGCATTCATCTCACAGAGTTGAAATCATTTTTTGATTTGAGTAGTTTGGAAACACTCTTTTTGTGGAATCTCTAAGGGCATATTTGAAGCGTTTTGCACGCTGTTGTGGAAAAGGAAATATCTTCACATAAAAACTACACAGAAGCATTCTGAGAAACTACTTTGTGATGTGGGCATTCATGTCACGGTTTTGAACCTTCCATTTGATTGAGCAGTTTTGAAATACTCGTTTGGTAGAATGTACAAGTGAATATTTGGAGCACTTGAGGCCTATGATAGAAACGGAAATATGTTTACATAAAAACTACACAGAAGCATGCTGAGAAACCTCTTTGTGATGTGTGTATTCACCTCCGGGAGTTCAACCTATCATTTGACAGAGCGGTTTTGAAACTCTTTTTGTAGAATCTCCAAGTGGATATTTGGAGCCCTTTGCATTCTACTGTGAAAAGGAAATATCTTCACATCAAAACTACACAGACGCATTCTGAGAAACTTCTTTGTGATGTTTGCTTTCAACTCACAGAATTGAACCTTTTGTTTGAGTAGTTTTGAAACTCTCTTTTTGTAGAATCTAGAAGTGGATATTTAGAACGCTTGGAGGCCTATGGTGCAAAAACGAATAACTTCACACAAAAAATACACAGAAGCATTCTGAGAAACTTCTTTACGATGTCTGCATTCACCTCACAGATTTGAATGTCTCTTTTGATTGAGCAGTTTGGAAGCACTCTTTCGGTAGAATCTGCAAGTGGATATGGAGAGAGCTTTGAGGCCTGTTGTGGAAAACTAAATGTCTTCATATAAAAGCTACACAGAAGCATTCTGAGAAACTCCTTTGTTATGTGTGCATTCATCTCACAGAGTTGAACCTTTCTTTTGATTCGGCAGTTTTGAAACACGGTTTCTGTAGAATCTTCAAGTGGATATTTGGAGCACTTTTCTGCCTATTGTGTAAAAGGAATATCTTTACGTAAGAACTACACAGAAGCATTCTGAGAAACTTCTTTGTGATGTTCTTAACTCACAGCGTTAAACTTACCTTTGGTAGAGCAGTTTTGAAACTCTCTTTCTGTGGAAAATGCAAGTGGGTATTTAGAGCCATTTGTGGCCTATGGTGGAAAGGAAAATATCTTCACATAAAAACTACACAGAAGCATTCTGAGAAATTACCTTTTGATGTGTGCATTTGTCTCAGACTGGAACCTTCCTTTTGTTTGAGCAGTTCTGAAACACTCTTTTTGTAGAATCTGGAAGTGCATATTTGGAGTGCTTTGAGGCCTATGGTGGAAAAAGAAATATCTTCATTTAAAAACTACACAGAAGCATTCTGAGAAACTTCTTTGTGATGTGTGTATTCATACCACAGAGTCGAAACTATCGTTTGAGAGAGCATTTCGAAACTTTCTTTTTGTAGGATCTGCAAGTGGATATTTGGAGGGCTTTCAGGCCTATGGTGGAAAAGGAAATATCTTCACATAAACACTACTCAGAAGCATTCTGAGAAACTTCTTCACGATGGTTGCACTAAACTCTCAGAGTTGAACTTATCTTTTGATAGAGCAGTTTTGAAACTCTGTGTTACTAGAATCTGCATGTGGTTATTTGGAGTCCTTTGTGACCGATGGTGGAAAAGGAAATATCTTCCCCTAAAAAGTACACAGAAGCATTCTGAGAAACTTTTTTGACATGTGTGCACTAATCTCACAGAGTTTAATCTATCATTTGATTGAGCAGTTTTAAAAAACTTTTTTTGTGGAATCTGCAATTGGATATTTGGAACGCTTTGAGGCCTATTGTGGAAAAGGCAATATCTTCACATAAAAACTACACAGAAACATTCCGAGAAACTTCTCTGTGATGTGTGCACTCATCTCACGGAGTTGAACCTTTCTTTGATTGACAAGTTTTGAAAGACTATGTTTCTATAATGTGCAAGTGGATATTTGGAGTGCTTTGAGGCATATGGTGGAAAAGGAAATATATTCACATAAAACTATACAGAAGCGTTCCCAGAAACTTATTTGTGATGTGTTTATTCAACTCGCAGAGTTGACCCTATCTTTTGATACAGCAGTTTTGAAACTCTCTTTTTGTAGAATCTGCAAGTGGATATTTGCAGCGCTTTGAGGCCTGCGGTGGAAAAGGAAATATCTTCACATAAAAACTACACAGAAGCATTCTCAGTAACTTCTTTGTAATGTGTGCATTCACCTCACAGACTTGAAACTTCCTACTTGATTGAGCAGCTTGGAAACACACTTTTAGTGAAATCTGCAAGTGGATATTTGGAGCACCTTGAGGCCTGTTGTGGAAAAGGAAATATCTTCACATAAAAACTACACAGAAGCATTCCAATAAACTTGTTTGTGATATGTACCTTCAACTGACAGATTTGAACCTTTCTTTTGATTAAATAGTTTTGAAAATCTCTTTTTGTAGAATCTGCAAGTGGATATTTGGAGTGCTTTGAGGCCTATGGTGGAAAAGGAAATATCTTTACATAAAAACTACACAGAAGCATTCTGAGAAACTACTTTGTGATGTGTGCATTCATATCACATAGTTGAACCTATCTTTTGATAGAGCACTTTTGAAACTCTCTTTTTGTAGAATCTGCAAGTGGATATTTGGAGCCCTTTGCAGCCTATGGTGGAAAAGGAAACATCTTCACATAAAAACTACACAGAAGCATTCTCAGAAACTACTTTGTGATGTGTGCGTTCAGCTCACAGACTTGAAACTTCCTCTTGATTGAGCAGTTTGGAAACACTCTTTAGTAAAATCTGCAAGTGGATATTCGGAGCACTTTGAGGCCTGTTGTGGAGAAGGAAATATCTTCACATAAAAACTACACAGACGCATTCCGAGAAACTTGTTTGTGATATGTGCATTCAACTGACAGAGTTGAACCTTTCTTTTGATTGACTAGTTTTGAAAATCTCTTTTTGTAGAATCTGCAAGTGGATATTTGGAGTGCTTTGAGGCCTACGGTGGAAAAGGAAATATCTTCATATGAAAACTACACAGAAGCATTCTGAGAAAATTCTTTGTGATGTGTGCATTCAAACCACAGACTTGAACTGATCTTTTGATAGAGCA
Organism: Homo sapiens; assembly: GCF_000001405.40. NCBI lineage: Eukaryota > Metazoa > Chordata > Mammalia > Primates > Hominidae > Homo > Homo sapiens. The sequence continues at coordinate 10,519,944 of NC_000024.10, forward strand.
GTTTTTAAAGTGTCTTTCTGTAGAATCTGCAAGTGGTTACTTGGAGACCTTTGTGGAAGATGGTGGAAAAGGAAATGTCTTCCCGTAAAAACTACACAGATGCATTCTGAGAAACTTCTTTGTGATGTGTGCATTCATCTCACAGAGTTCAACCTATCTTTTTGTAGAGCAGTTTTGAAACTCTCTTTTCCTAGAATCTGTAAGTTGATATTTGGAGCCCTTTGCGGCCTATTGTGGAAAAGGAAATAACTTCACATGAAAACTACACAGAAGCTGAGAAACTTCTTTGTGATGTGTGCATTAATTTCCCAGAGTCGAACCTTTCTTTTGATTGAGCAGTTTTGAAACACTCTTTTTGTAGAATCTGCAAGTGGACATTTGAAGCACTTTGAGGCCTATTGTTGAAAAGGAAACATCTTCATATAAAAACAACAAGGAAGCATTCTGAGAAACCATTTTGTGCTGTGTGCATTCACCTCACAGAGTTCAACTTTATTTGATACAGCAGTTTTGAAACACTCTTCTTGTAGAATCTGCAAGTGGAAATTGGGAAATATTTAGGCATATGGTGGAAAAGGAAACATCCGCACATAAAAACTACACAGACACATTCTGTGAAACTTCTTTGTGCTGTGTGCATTCAAACCACAGTAGTTGAACCTATCTTTTGAATGAGCAGTTTTGAAACTCTCTTTTCATAGTATCTGCAAGTGGATATTTGGAGCCTTTTGTGGCCTACGGTGGGAAAGGAAATATCTTCATATAAAAACTACACAGAAGCATTCTGAGAAACTTCTCAGTGATGTGAGCATTCTTCTCACAGAGTTGAACCTTTCTTTTGATTGAGCAGTTTTGAAACACTGTTTTTTTAGAATCTGCAAGTGAATATTTGGAGCCTTTTGGGGCTTATTGTGGAAAAGGAAATATCTTCACATAAAAACTACACAGAAGCATTCTGAGAAACTTCTTTGTCATGTGTGGATTCATCTCACAGAGTTAAATCTTTCTTTTGATTGAGCAGTTTGCAAACACTCTTTTTGTGGTATCTCCAGGAGGATATTTGGAGTGCTTTGAGGCCTATGTTGGAAAAGGAAGTATCTTCCCTTAAAAGCTATGCAGAAGCATTCTGAGAAACTTCCTTCTGATGTGTGCATTCATCTCACCTAGTTGAACCTTTCTTTTGGTTGTGCACTTTTGAAACACTCTTTTTGTGGAATCTGCAAGTGGATATCTGGATCACTTTGACGTCTATTGTGGAAAAGGAAATATCTTCACATAAAAACTACACAGAAGAATTCCGACATAGTTCTTTGTGATGTGTGCATTCAACTCACATAGTTGAAACCATCTCTTGATCGAGTAGTTTTGAACCTCTCTTGTTGTAGAATCTGAAAGTGGATATTTGTGTCCCCTGGCGGTCTATGGTGGAAAAGAAATATCTTCACAAAAATACTACACAGAAGCATTCTGAGAAACTTCTTTGTGATGTGTCCATTCATCTCACAGAGTTGAACCTTTCTTTTGATTGAGCAGTTTTGAAATACTCCTTTTGTAGAATCTGCAAGTGGATATTTTGAGTGCTTTGAGAACTATTGTGGAAAAGGAATTATCTTCTCATAAAACCTACACTGAAGGATTCTGAGAAATTTCTTGTGATGTGTGCATTCATCTCACAGAGTTGAACATTTCCTATGATTGAGCAGTTTGGAAATATTCTTTTCATAGAATCTGGAAGTGGATATTTGGAGCCCTTTGAGGCCTATTGTGGAAAAGGAAATATCTTCACATAAAAACTACAGAGAAGCATTCTGAGAAACTTCTTTGTGATGTGTGCATTCATCAAACAGAATTGAACATTTCTTTTTTTGTGCAGTTTTGAAACAATCTTGTAGTATCTGCAAGTGGATATTTGGAGCGTTTTAAGACCTAAGGTGGGAAAGGAAATATCTTCACATAAAAATTACACAGAGAGATTCTGAGAAACTTCTTTGTGATGTGTGCATTCATCTCATATATTTGAACCTTTCTTTTCATTGTGCAGTTTCCAAGCAATCTTTTTCTAGAATATGTAAGTGGATATTTGGAGCACTTTGTGGACTATGGAGGGAAAAGAAATGTCTTCACATAAAAACTACACAGAAGCATTGGGAGAAAATTCTTGTGATATTTGTGTTCAACCCACAAAGTTGAACATATTGTTTGATAGAGCAGTTGTGAAACTCTCTTTTTGTAGAATCTGCAAGTGGGTATTTGGAGCCCTTTGTGGCCCATGGTAGAAAAGGAACTATCTTCACAGAAAAACTACCCAGAAGCATTTTGAGAAACTTCTTTGTGATTTGTGCACTCATCTCACGGTGTTGAAACTTTATTTTTATTGAGCAATTTTGAACATTCCTTTTTATAGAATCTACAAGTGGATATTTGGAGTGGTTTGAGACCTATGGTAGAAAAAGAACTATCTTCACCGAAAAACCACACAGAAGCATTTTGAGAAGCTTCTTTTTGATGTATGCATTCAACTCACAGAGACGAACTGATCTTTTGATAGAGCAGTTTTGAAACTCACTTTTGTAGAATCTGCAGGTGGATATTTGGAGTACATTGCGGCCTATGGTGAAAAAGGAACTATCTTCGCATGAGAACCAGGCAGAAACATTCTGAGAAACTAGTTTGTGATGTGTGCATTCATCTCACAGAGTTGAAATCATTTTTTGATTTGAGTAGTTTGGAAACACTCTTTTTGTGGAATCTCTAAGGGCATATTTGAAGCGTTTTGCACGCTGTTGTGGAAAAGGAAATATCTTCACATAAAAACTACACAGAAGCATTCTGAGAAACTACTTTGTGATGTGGGCATTCATGTCACGGTTTTGAACCTTCCATTTGATTGAGCAGTTTTGAAATACTCGTTTGGTAGAATGTACAAGTGAATATTTGGAGCACTTTGAGGCCTATGATAGAAACGGAAATATGTTTACATAAAAACTACACAGAAGCATGCTGAGAAACCTCTTTGTGATGTGTGTATTCACCTCCGGGAGTTCAACCTATCATTTGACAGAGCGGTTTTGAAACTCTTTTTGTAGAATCTCCAAGTGGATATTTGGAGCCCTTTGCATTCTACTGTGAAAAGGAAATATCTTCACATCAAAACTACACAGAACGCATTCTGAGAAACTTCTTTGTGATGTTTGCTTTCAACTCACAGAATTGAACCTTTTGTTTGAGTAGTTTTGAAACTCTCTTTTTGTAGAATCTAGAAGTGGATATTTAGAACGCTTGGAGGCCTATGGTGCAAAAACGAATAACTTCACACAAAAAATACACAGAAGCATTCTGAGAAACTTCTTTACGATGTCTGCATTCACCTCACAGATTTGAATGTCTCTTTTGATTGAGCAGTTTGGAAGCACTCTTTCGGTAGAATCTGCAAGTGGATATGGAGAGAGCTTTGAGGCCTGTTGTGGAAAACTAAATGTCTTCATATAAAAGCTACACAGAAGCATTCTGAGAAACTCCTTTGTTATGTGTGCATTCATCTCACAGAGTTGAACCTTTCTTTTGATTCGGCAGTTTTGAAACACGGTTTCTGTAGAATCTTCAAGTGGATATTTGGAGCACTTTTCTGCCTATTGTGTAAAAGGAATATCTTTACGTAAGAACTACACAGAAGCATTCTGAGAAACTTCTTTGTGATGTTCTTAACTCACAGCGTTAAACTTACCTTTGGTAGAGCAGTTTTGAAACTCTCTTTTTGTGGAAAATGTAAGTGGGTATTTAGAGCCATTTGTGGCCTATGGTGGAAAGGAAAATATCTTCACATAAAAACTACACAGAAGCATTCTGAGAAACTACCTTTTGATGTGTGTATTTGTCTCAGACTGGAACCTTCCTTTTGATTGAGCAGTTCTGAAACACTCTTTTTGTAGAATCTGGAAGTGCATATTTGGAGTGCTTTGAGGCCTATGGTGGAAAAAAGAAATATCTTCATTTAAAAACTACACAGAAGCATTCTGAGAAACTTCTTTGTGATGTGTGTATTCATACCACAGAGTCGAAACTATCGTTTGAGAGAGCATTTCGAAACTTTCTTTTTGTAGGATCTGCAAGTGGATATTTGGAGGGCTTTCAGGCCTATGGTGGAAAAGGAAATATCTTCACATAAACACTACTCAGAAGCATTCTGAGAAACTTCTTCACGATGGTTGCACTAAACTCTCAGAGTTGAACTTATCTTTTGATAGAGCAGTTTTGAAACTCTGTGTTACTAGAATCTGCATGTGGTTATTTGGAGTCCTTTGTGGCCGATGGTGGAAAAGGAAATATCTTCCCCTAAAAAGTACACAGAAGCATTCTGAGAAACTTTTTTGACATGTGTGCACTAATCTCACAGAGTTTAATCTATCATTTGATTGAGCAGTTTTAAAAAACTTTTTTTGTGGAATCTGCAATTGGATATTTGGAACGCTTTGAGGCCTATTGTGGAAAAGGCAATATCTTCACATAAAAACTACACAGAAACATTCCGAGAAACTTCTCTGTGATGTGTGCACTCATCTCACGGAGTTGAACCTTTCTTTGATTGACAAGTTTTGAAAGACTATGTTTCTATAATGTGCAAGTGGATATTTGGAGTGCTTTGAGGCATATGGTGGAAAAGGAAATATATTCACATAAAACTATACAGAAGCGTTCCCAGAAACTTATTTGTGATGTGTTTATTCAACTCGCAGAGTTGACCCTATCTTTTGATACAGCAGTTTTGAAACTCTCTTTTTGTAGAATCTGCAAGTGGATATTTGCAGCGCTTTGAGGCCTGCGGTGGAAAAGGAAATATCTTCACATAAAAACTACACAGAAGCATTCTCAGTAACTTCTTTGTAATGTGTGCATTCACCTCACAGACTTGAAACTTCCTCTTGATTGAGCAGCTTGGAAACACACTTTTAGTGAAATCTGCAAGTGGATATTTGGAGCACCTTGAGGCCTGTTGTGGAAAAGGAAATATCTTCACATAAAAACTACACAGAAGCATTCCAATAAACTTGTTTGTGATATGTACCTTCAACTGACAGATTTGAACCTTTCTTTTGATTAAATAGTTTTGAAAATCTCTTTTTGTAGAATCTGCAAGTGGATATTTGGAGTGCTTTGAGGCCTATGGTGGAAAAGGAAATATCTTTACATAAAAACTACACAGAAGCATTCTGAGAAACTACTTTGTGATGTGTGCATTCATATCACATAGTTGAACCTATCTTTTGATAGAGCACTTTTGAAACTCTCTTTTTGTAGAATCTGCAAGTGGATATTTGGAGCCCTTTGCAGCCTATGGTGGAAAAGGAAACATCTTCACATAAAAACTACACAGAAGCATTCTCAGAAACTACTTTGTGATGTGTGCGTTCAGCTCACAGACTTGAAACTTCCTCTTGATTGAGCAGTTTGGAAACACTCTTTAGTAAAATCTGCAAGTGGATATTCGGAGCACTTTGAGGCCTGTTGTGGAGAAGGAAATATCTTCACATAAAAACTACACAGACGCATTCCGAGAAACTTGTTTGTGATATGTGCATTCAACTGACAGAGTTGAACCTTTCTTTTGATTGACTAGTTTTGAAAATCTCTTTTTGTAGAATCTGCAAGTGGATATTTGGAGTGCTTTGAGGCCTATGGTGGAAAAGGAAATATCTTCATATGAAAACTACACAGAAGCATTCTGAGAAAATTCTTTGTGATGTGTGCATTCAAACCACAGACTTGAACTGATCTTTTGATAGAGCAGTTTTTAAAGTGTCTTTCTGTAGAATCTGCAAGTGGTTACTTGGAGACCTTTGTGGAAGATGGTGGAAAAGGAAATGTCTTCCCGGTAAAAACTACACAGAAAAATTCTAAGAAACTTCTTTGTGATGTGTGCATTCAACTCGTAGAGTTGAACCTATCTTTTCATACAGCAGTTTTGAAACTCTCTTTTTGTAGATTCTGCGTGTGATTATTTGGAGCCTTTTGTGGCCAATGGTGGAAAAGGAAATGTGTTCCCCTAAAAACTACACAGAAGCATTCTGAGAAACTTCTTTGTGATGTGTGCATTCATCTCACAGAGTGTAACCTTTCATTTGATTGAGCAGTTTTGAAACATTCTTTTTGTAGGGTGTGCAATTGGAACTTCAGAGCGCTTTGTTACCTATTGTGGAAAAGGAAATATCTTCACATAAAAACTACACAGAAGCATTCTGAGAAACTACTTTGTGATGTGGGCATTCATGTCACAGTTTTGAACCTTCCATTTGATTGAGCAGTTTTGAAATACTCGTTTGGTAGAATGTACAAGTGAATATTTGGAGCACTTTGAGGCCTATGATAGAAACGGAAATATGTTTACATAAAAACTACACAGAAGCATGCTGAGAAACCTCTTTGTGATGTGTGTATTCACCTCCGGGAGTTCAACCTATCATTTGACAGAGCGGTTTTGAAACTCTTTTTGTAGAATCTCCAAGTGGATATTTGGAGCCCTTTGCATTCTATTGTGAAAAGGAAATATCTTCACATCAAAACTACACAGACGCATTCTGAGAAACTTCTTTGTGATGTTTGCTTTCAACTCACAGAATTGAACCTTTTGTTTGAGTAGTTTTGAAACTCTCTTTTTGTAGAATCTAGAAGTGGATATTTAGAACGCTTGGAGGCCTATGGTGCAAAAACGAATAACTTCACACAAAAAATACACAGAAGCATTCTGAGAAACTTCTTTACGATGTCTGCATTCACCTCACAGATTTGAATGTCTCTTTTGATTGAGCAGTTTGGAAGCACTCTTTCGGTAGAATCTGCAAGTGGATATGGAGAGAGCTTTGAGGCCTGTTGTGGAAAACTAAATGTCTTCATATTAAAGCTACACAGAAGCATTCTGAGAAACTCCTTTGTTATGTGTGCATTCATCTCACAGAGTTGAACCTTTCTTTTGATTCGGCAGTTTTGAAACACGGTTTTTGTAGAATCTTCAAGTGGATATTTGGAGCACTTTTCTGCCTATTGTGTAAAAGGAAATATCTTTACGTAAGAACTACACAGAAGCATTCTGAGAAACTTCTTTGTGATGTTCTTAACTCACAGCGTTAAACTTACCTTTGGTAGAGCAGTTTTGAAACTCTCTTTTTGTGGAAAATGTAAGTGGGTATTTAGAGCCATTTGTGGCCTATGGTGGAAAGGAAAATATCTTCACATAAAAACTACACAGAAGCATTCTGAGAAACTACCTTTTGATGTGTGTATTTGTCTCAGACTGGAACCTTCCTTTTGATTGAGCAGTTCTGAAACACTCTTTTTGTAGAATCTGGAAGTGCATATTTGGAGTGCTTTGAGGCCTATGGTGGAAAAAGAAATATCTTCATTTAAAAACTACACAGAAGCATTCTGAGAAACTTCTTTGTGATGTGTGTATTCATACCACAGAGTCGAAACTATCGTTTGAGAGAGCATTTCGAAACTTTCTTTTTGTAGGATCTGCAAGTGGATATTTGGAGGGCTTTCAGGCCTATGGTGGAAAAGGAAATATCTTCACATAAACACTACTCAGAAGCATTCTGAGAAACTTCTTCACGATGGTTGCACTAAACTCTCAGAGTTGAACTTATCTTTTGATAGAGCAGTTTTGAAACTCTGTGTTACTAGAATCTGCATGTGGTTATTTGGAGTCCTTTGTGGCCGATGGTGGAAAAGGAAATATCTTCCCCTAAAAAGTACACAGAAGCATTCTGAGAAACTTTTTTGACATGTGTGCACTAATCTCACAGAGTTTAATCTATCATTTGATTGAGCAGTTTTAAAAAACTTTTTTTGTGGAATCTGCAATTGGATATTTGGAACGCTTTGAGGCCTATTGTGGAAAAGGCAATATCTTCACATAAAAACTACACAGAAACATTCCGAGAAACTTCTCTGTGATGTGTGCACTCATCTCACGGAGTTGAACCTTTCTTTGATTGACAAGTTTTGAAAGACTATGTTTCTATAATGTGCAAGTGGATATTTGGAGTGCTTTGAGGCATATGGTGGAAAAGGAAATATATTCACATAAAACTATACAGAAGCGTTCCCAGAAACTTATTTGTGATGTGTTTATTCAACTCGCAGAGTTGACCCTATCTTTTGATACAGCAGTTTTGAAACTCTCTTTTTGTAGAATCTGCAAGTGGATATTTGCAGCGCTTTGAGGCCTGCGGTGGAAAAGGAAATATCTTCACATAAAAACTACACAGAAGCATTCTCAGTAACCTTCTTTGTAATGTGTGCATTCACCTCACAGACTTGAAACTTCCTCTTGATTGAGCAGCTTGGAAACACACTTTTAGTGAAATCTGCAAGTGGATATTTGGAGCACCTTGAGGCCTGTTGTGGAAAAGGAAATATCTTCACATAAAAACTACACAGAAGCATTCCAATAAACTTGTTTGTGATATGTACCTTCAACTGACAGATTTGAACCTTTCTTTTGATTAAATAGTTTTGAAAATCTCTTTTTGTAGAATCTGCAAGTGGATATTTGGAGTGCTTTGAGGCCTATGGTGGAAAAGGAAATATCTTTACATAAAAACTACACAGAAGCATTCTGAGAAACTACTTTGTGATGTGTGCATTCATATCACATAGTTGAACCTATCTTTTGATAGAGCACTTTTGAAACTCTCTTTTTGTAGAATCTGCAAGTGGATATTTGGAGCCCTTTGCAGCCTATGGTGGAAAAGGAAACATCTTCACATAAAAACTACACAGAAGCATTCTCAGAAACTACTTTGTGATGTGTGCGTTCAGCTCACAGACTTGAAACTTCCTCTTGATTGAGCAGTTTGGAAACACTCTTTAGTAAAATCTGCAAGTGGATATTCGGAGCACTTTGAGGCCTGTTGTGGAGAAGGAAATATCTTCACATAAAAACTACACAGACGCATTCCGAGAAACTTGTTTGTGATATGTGCATTCAACTGACAGAGTTGAACCTTTCTTTTGATTGACTAGTTTTGAAAATCTCTTTTTGTAGAATCTGCAAGTGGATATTTGGAGTGCTTTGAGGCCTATGGTGGAAAAGGAAATATCTTCATATGAAAACTACACAGAAGCATTCTGAGAAAATTCTTTGTGATGTGTGCATTCAAACCACAGACTTGAACTGATCTTTTGATAGAGCAGTTTTTAAAGTGTCTTTCTGTAGAATCTGCAAGTGGTTACTTGGAGACCTTTGTGGAAGATGGTGGAAAAGGAAATGTCTTCCCGTAAAAACTACACAGATGCATTCTGAGAAACTTCTTTGTGATGTGTGCATTCATCTCACAGAGTTCAACCTATCTTTTCGTAGAGCAGTTTTGAAACTCTCTTTTCCTAGAATCTGTAAGTTGATATTTGGAGCCCTTTGCGGCCTATTGTGGAAAAGGAAATAACTTCACATGAAAACTACACAGAAGCTGAGAAACTTCTTTGTGATGTGTGCATTAATTTCCCAGAGTCGAACCTTTCTTTTGATTGAGCAGTTTTGAAACACTCTTTTTGTAGAATCTGCAAGTGGACATTTGAAGCACTTTGAGGCCTATTGTTGAAAAGGAAACATCTTCATATAAAAACAACAAGGAAGCATTCTGAGAAACCATTTTGTGCTGTGTGCATTCACCTCACAGAGTTCAACTTTATTTGATACAGCAGTTTTGAAACACTCTTCTTGTGGAATCTGCAAGTGGAAATTGGGAAATATTTAGGCATATGGTGGAAAAGGAAACATCCGCACATAAAAACTACACAGACACATTCTGTGAAACTTCTTTGTGCTGTGTGCATTCAAACCACAGAGTTGAACCTATCTTTTGAATGAGCAGTTTTGAAACTCTCTTTTCATAGTATCTGCAAGTGGATATTTGGAGCCTTTTGTGGCCTACGGTGGGAAAGGAAATATCTTCATATAAAAACTACACAGAAGCATTCTGAGAAACTTCTCAGTGATGTGAGCATTCTTCTCACAGAGTTGAACTATCTTTTGATTGAGCAGTTTTGAAACACTGTTTTTTTTAGAATCTGCAAGTGAATATTTGGAGCCTTTTGGGTCTTATTGTGGAAAAGGAAATATCTTCACATAAAAACTACACAGAAGCATTCTGAGAAACTTCTCAGTGATGTGAGCATTCTTCTCACAGAGTTGAACTATCTTTTGATTGAGCAGTTTTGAAACACTGTTTTTTTTAGAATCTGCAAGTGAATATTTGGAGCCTTTTGGGTCTTATTGTGGAAAAGGAAATATCTTCACATAAAAACTACACAGAAGCATTCTGAGAAACTTCTTTGTCATGTGTGGATTCATCTCACAGAGTTAAATCTTTCTTTTGATTGAGCAGTTTGCAAACACTCTTTTTGTGGTATCTCCAGGAGGATATTTGGAGTGCTTTGAGGCCTATGTTGGAAAAGGAAGTATCTTCCCTTAAAAGCTATGCAGAAGCATTCTGAGAAACTTCCTTCTGATGTGTGCATTCATCTCACCTAGTTGAACCTTTCTTTTGGTTGTGCACTTTTGAAACACTCTTTTTGTGGAATCTGCAAGTGGATATCTGGATCACTTTGACGTCTATTGTGGAAAAGGAAATATCTTCACATAAAAACTACACAGAAGAATTCCGACATAGTTCTTTGTGATGTGTGCATTCAACTCACATAGTTGAAACCATCTCTTGATCGAGTAGTTTTGAACCTCTCTTGTTGTAGAATCTGAAAGTGGATATTTGTGTCCCCTGGCGGTCTATGGTGGAAAAGAAATATCTTCACAAAAATACTACACAGAAGCATTCTGAGAAACTTCTTTGTGATGTGTCCATTCATCCCACAGAGTTGAACCTTTCTTTTGATTGAGCAGTTTTGAAATACTCCTTTTGTAGAATCTGCAAGTGGATATTTTGAGTGCTTTGAGAACTATTGTGGAAAAGGAATTATCTTCTCATAAAACCTACACTGAAGGATTCTGAGAAATTTCTTGTGATGTGTGCATTCATCTCACAGAGTTGAACATTTCCTATGATTGAGCAGTTTGGAAATATTCTTTTCATAGAATCTGGAAGTGGATATTTGGAGCCCTTTGAGGCCTATTGTGGAAAAGGAAATATCTTCACATAAAAACTACAGAGAAGCATTCTGAGAAACTTCTTTGTGATGTGTGCATTCATCAAACAGAATTGAACATTTCTTTTTTTGTGCAGTTTTGAAACAATCTTCTTGTAGTATCTGCAAGTGGATATTTGGAGCGTTTTAAGACCTAAGGTGGGAAAGGAAATATCTTCACATAAAAATTACACAGAGAGATTCTGAGAAACTTCTTTGTGATGTGTGCATTCATCTCATATATTTGAACCTTTCTTTTCATTGTGCAGTTTCCAAGCAATCTTTTTCTAGAATATGTAAGTGGATATTTGGAGCACTTTGTGGACTATGGAGGGAAAAGAAATGTCTTCACATAAAAACTACACAGAAGCATTGGGAGAAAATTCTTGTGATATTTGTGTTCAACCCACAAAGTTGAACATATTGTTTGATAGAGCAGTTGTGAAACTCTCTTTTTGTAGAATCTGCAAGTGGGTATTTGGAGCCCTTTGTGGCCCATGGTAGAAAAGGAACTATCTTCACAGAAAAACTACCCAGAAGCATTTTGAGAAACTCCTTTGTGATTTGTGCACTCATCTCACGGTGTTGAAACTTTATTTTTATTGAGCAATTTTGAACATTCCTTTTTATAGAATCTACAAGTGGATATTTGGAGTGGTTTGAGACCTATGGTAGAAAAAGAACTATCTTCACCGAAAAACCACACAGAAGCATTTTGAGAAGCTTCTTTTTGATGTATGCATTCAACTCACAGAGACGAACTGATCTTTTGATAGAGCAGTTTTGAAACTCACTTTTGTAGAATCTGCAGGTGGATATTTGGAGTACATTGCGGCCTATGGTGAAAAAGGACTATCTTCGCATGAGAACCAGGCAGAAACATTCTGAGAAACTAGTTTGTGATGTGTGCATTCATCTCACAGAGTTGAAATCATTTTTTGATTTGAGTAGTTTGGAAACACTCTTTTTGTGGAATCTCTAAGGGCATATTTGAAGCGTTTTGCACGCTGTTGTGGAAAAGGAAATATCTTCACATAAAAACTACACAGAAGCATTCTGAGAAACTACTTTGTGATGTGGGCATTCATGTCACGGTTTTGAACCTTCCATTTGATTGAGCAGTTTTGAAATACTCGTTTGGTAGAATGTACAAGTGAATATTTGGAGCACTTTGAGGCCTATGATAGAAACGGAAATATGTTTACATAAAAACTACACAGAAGCATGCTGAGAAACCTCTTTGTGATGTGTGTATTCACCTCCGGGAGTTCAACCTATCATTTGACAGAGCGGTTTTGAAACTCTTTTTGTAGAATCTCCAAGTGGATATTTGGAGCCCTTTGCATTCTACTGTGAAAAGGAAATATCTTCACATAAAAACTACACAGACGCATTCTGAGAAACTTCTTTGTGATGTTTGCTTTCAACTCACAGAATTGAACCTTTTGTTTGAGTAGTTTTGAAACTCTCTTTTTGTAGAATCTAGAAGTGGATATTTAGAACGCTTGGAGGCCTATGGTGCAAAAACGAATAACTTCACACAAAAAATACACAGAAGCATTCTGAGAAACTTCTTTACGATGTCTGCATTCACCTCACAGATTTGAATGTCTCTTTTGATTGAGCAGTTTGGAAGCACTCTTTCGGTAGAATCTGCAAGTGGATATGGAGAGAGCTTTGAGGCCTGTTGTGGAAAACTAAATATCTTCATATAAAAGCTACACAGAAGCATTCTGAGAAACTCCTTTGTTATGTGTGCATTCATCTCACAGAGTTGAAACTTTCTTTTGATTCGGCAGTTTTGAAACACGGTTTTTGTAGAATCTTCAAGTGGATATTTGGAGCACTTTTCTGCCTATTGTGTAAAAGGAAATATCTTTACATAAGAACTACACAGAAGCATTCTGAGAAACTTCTTTGTGATGTTCTTAACTCACAGCGTTAAACTTACCTTTGGTAGAGCAGTTTTGAAACTCTCTTTCTGTGGAAAATGCAAGTGGGTATTTAGAGCCATTTGTGGCCTATGGTGGAAAGGAAAATATCTTCACATAAAAACTACACAGAAGCATTCTGAGAAATTACCTTTTGATGTGTGCATTTGTCTCAGACTGGAACCTTCCTTTTGTTTGAGCAGTTCTGAAACACTCTTTTTGTAGAATCTGGAAGTGCATATTTGGAGTGCTTTGAGGCCTATGGTGGAAAAAGAAATATCTTCATTTAAAAACTACACAGAAGCATTCTGAGAAACTTCTTTGTGATGTGTGTATTCATACCACAGAGTCGAAACTATCGTTTGAGAGAGCATTTCGAAACTTTCTTTTTGTAGGATCTGCAAGTGGATATTTGGAGGGCTTTCAGGCCTATGGTGGAAAAGGAAATATCTTCACATAAACACTACTCAGAAGCATTCTGAGAAACTTCTTCACGATGGGTTGCACTAAACTCTCAGAGTTGAACTTATCTTTTGATAGAGCAGTTTTGAAACTCTGTGTTACTAGAATCTGCATGTGGTTATTTGGAGTCCTTTGTGGCCGATGGTGGAAAAGGAAATATCTTCCCCTAAAAAGTACACAGAAGCATTCTGAGAAACTTTTTTGACATGTGTGCACTAATCTCACAGAGTTTAATCTATCATTTGATTGAGCAGTTTTAAAAAACTTTTTTTGTGGAATCTGCAATTGGATATTTGGAACGCTTTGAGGCCTATTGTGGAAAAGGCAATATCTTCACATAAAAACTACACAGAAACATTCCGAGAAACTTCTCTGTGATGTGTGCACTCATCTCACGGAGTTGAACCTTTCTTTGATTGACAAGTTTTGAAAGACTATGTTTCTATAATGTGCAAGTGGATATTTGGAGTGCTTTGAGGCATATGGTGGAAAAGGAAATATATTCACATAAAACTATACAGAAGCGTTCCCAGAAACTTATTTGTGATGTGTTTATTCAACTCGCAGAGTTGACCCTATCTTTTGATACAGCAGTTTTGAAACTCTCTTTTTGTAGAATCTGCAAGTGGATATTTGCAGCGCTTTGAGGCCTGCGGTGGAAAAGGAAATATCTTCACATAAAAACTACACAGAAGCATTCTCAGTAACTTCTTTGTAATGTGTGCATTCACCTCACAGACTTGAAACTTCCTCTTGATTGAGCAGCTTGGAAACACACTTTTAGTGAAATCTGCAAGTGGATATTTGGAGCACCTTGAGGCCTGTTGTGGAAAAGGAAATATCTTCACATAAAAACTACACAGAAGCATTCCAATAAACTTGTTTGTGATATGTACCTTCAACTGACAGATTTGAACCTTTCTTTTGATTAAATAGTTTTGAAAATCTCTTTTTGTAGAATCTGCAAGTGGATATTTGGAGTGCTTTGAGGCCTATGGTGGAAAAGGAAATATCTTTACATAAAAACTACACAGAAGCATTCTGAGAAACTACTTTGTGATGTGTGCATTCATATCACATAGTTGAACCTATCTTTTGATAGAGCACTTTTGAAACTCTCTTTTTGTAGAATCTGCAAGTGGATATTTGGAGCCCTTTGCAGCCTATGGTGGAAAAGGAAACATCTTCACATAAAAACTACACAGAAGCATTCTCAGAAACTACTTTGTGATGTGTGCGTTCAGCTCACAGACTTGAAACTTCCTCTTGATTGAGCAGTTTGGAAACACTCTTTAGTAAAATCTGCAAGTGGATATTCGGAGCACTTTGAGGCCTGTTGTGGAGAAGGAAATATCTTCACATAAAAACTACACAGACGCATTCCGAGAAACTTGTTTGTGATATGTGCATTCAACTGACAGAGTTGAACCTTTCTTTTGATTGACTAGTTTTGAAAATCTCTTTTTGTAGAATCTGCAAGTGGATATTTGGAGTGCTTTGAGGCCTACGGTGGAAAAGGAAATATCTTCATATGAAAACTACACAGAAGCATTCTGAGAAAATTCTTTGTGATGTGTGCATTCAAACCACAGACTTGAACTGATCTTTTGATAGAGCAGTTTTTAAAGTGTCTTTCTGTAGAATCTGCAAGTGGTTACTTGGAGACCTTTGTGGAAGATGGTGGAAAAGGAAATGTCTTCCCGTAAAAACTACACAGATGCATTCTGAGAAACTTCTTTGTGATGTGTGCATTCATCTCACAGAGTTCAACCTATCTTTTCGTAGAGCAGTTTTGAAACTCTCTTTTCCTAGAATCTGTAAGTTGATATTTGGAGTCCTTTGCGGCCTATTGTGGAAAAGGAAATAACTTCACATGAAAACTACACAGAAGCTGAGAAACTTCTTTGTGATGTGTGCATTAATTTCCCAGAGTCGAACCTTTCTTTTGATTGAGCAGTTTTGAAACACTCTTTTTGTAGAATCTGCAAGTGGACATTTGAAGCACTTTGAGGCCTATTGTTGAAAAGGAAACATCTTCATATAAAAACAACAAGGAAGCATTCTGAGAAACCATTTTGTGCTGTGTGCATTCACCTCACAGAGTTCAACTTTATTTGATACAGCAGTTTTGAAACACTCTTCTTGTGGAATCTGCAAGTGGAAATTGGGAAATATTTAGGCATATGGTGGAAAAGGAAACATCCGCACATAAAAACTACACAGACACATTCTGTGAAACTTCTTTGTGCTGTGTGCATTCAAACCACAGAGTTGAACCTATCTTTTGAATGAGCAGTTTTGAAACTCTCTTTTCATAGTATCTGCAAGTGGATATTTGGAGCCTTTTGTGGCCTACGGTGGGAAAGGAAATATCTTCATATAAAAACTACACAGAAGCATTCTGAGAAACTTCTCAGTGATGTGAGCATTCTTCTCACAGAGTTGAACCTTTCTTTTGATTGAGCAGTTTTGAAACACTGTTTTTTTTAGAATCTGCAAGTGAATATTTGGAGCCTTTTGGGTCTTATTGTGGAAAAGGAAATATCTTCACATAAAAACTACACAGAAGCATTCTGAGACACTTCTTTGTGGTATGTGCATTCATCTCACAGAGGTGAAACTTTCTTTTGATGGAGCAGTTTTGGAAATCTCTTTTTGTAGAATCTGCAAGTGGATATTTGGAGCACTTTGAGGCCCATTGTGGAAAAGGAAATATCTTTACATAAAAACTACACAGAAATCTGAGAAACATCTTTTTGTTGTGCGCATTCAACTCACAGAGTTGAACTATCTTTTGATTGTGCAGTTTTGAAACACTCTTTTTGTAGAATGTGAAAGTGGATATTTTGAGCGCTTTGAGGCCTATTGTGGAAAAAGAAATATCTTCAATTAAAAACTACACAGAAGCATTCTGAGAAACTTCTTTGTGATGTGTGGATTCATCTCACAGAGTTAAATCTTTCTTTTGATTGAGCAGTTTGCAAACACTCTTTTTGTGGTATCTCCAGGAGGATATTTGGAGTGCTTTGAGGCCTATGTTGGAAAAGGAAGTATCTTCCCTTAAAAGCTATGCAGAAGCATTCTGAGAAACTTCCTTCTGATGTGTGCATTCATCTCACCTAGTTGAACCTTTCTTTTGGTTGTGCACTTTTGAAACACTCTTTTTGTGGAATCTGCAAGTGGATATCTGGATCACTTTGACGTCTATTGTGGAAAAGGAAATATCTTCACATAAAAACTACACAGAAGAATTCCGACATAGTTCTTTGTGATGTGTGCATTCAACTCACATAGTTGAAACCATCTCTTGATCGAGTAGTTTTGAACCTCTCTTGTTGTAGAATCTGAAAGTGGATATTTGTGTCCCCTGGCGGTCTATGGTGGAAAAGAAATATCTTCACAAAAATACTACACAGAAGCATTCTGAGAAACTTCTTTGTGATGTGTCCATTCATCTCACAGAGTTGAACCTTTCTTTTGATTGAGCAGTTTTGAAATACTCCTTTTGTAGAATCTGCAAGTGGATATTTTGAGTGCTTTGAGAACTATTGTGGAAAAGGAATTATCTTCTCATAAAACCTACACTGAAGGATTCTGAGAAATTTCTTGTGATGTGTGCATTCATCTCACAGAGTTGAACATTTCCTATGATTGAGCAGTTTGGAAATATTCTTTTCATAGAATCTGGAAGTGGATATTTGGAGCCCTTTGAGGCCTATTGTGGAAAAGGAAATATCTTCACATAAAAACTACAGAGAAGCATTCTGAGAAACTTCTTTGTGATGTGTGCATTCATCAAACAGAATTGAACATTTCTTTTTTTGTGCAGTTTTGAAACAATCTTCTTGTAGTATCTGCAAGTGGATATTTGGAGCGTTTTAAGACCTAAGGTGGGAAAGGAAATATCTTCACATAAAAATTACACAGAGAGATTCTGAGAAACTTCTTTGTGATGTGTGCATTCATCTCATATATTTGAACCTTTCTTTTCATTGTGCAGTTTCCAAGCAATCTTTTTCTAGAATATGTAAGTGGATATTTGGAGCACTTTGTGGACTATGGAGGGAAAAGAAATGTCTTCACATAAAAACTACACAGAAGCATTGGGAGAAAATTCTTGTGATATTTGTGTTCAACCCACAAAGTTGAACATATTGTTTGATAGAGCAGTTGTGAAACTCTCTTTTTGTAGAATCTGCAAGTGGGTATTTGGAGCCCTTTGTGGCCCATGGTAGAAAAGGAACTTCTTCACAGAAAAACTACCCAGAAGCATTTTGAGAAACTCCTTTGTGATTTGTGCACTCATCTCACGGTGTTGAAACTTTATTTTTATTGAGCAATTTTGAACATTCCTTTTTATAGAATCTACAAGTGGATATTTGGAGTGGTTTGAGACCTATGGTAGAAAAAGAACTATCTTCACCGAAAAACCACACAGAAGCATTTTGAGAAGCTTCTTTTTGATGTATGCATTCAACTCACAGAGACGAACTGATCTTTTGATAGAGCAGTTTTGAAACTCACTTTTGTAGAATCTGCAGGTGGATATTTGGAGTACATTGCGGCCTATGGTGAAAAAGGAACTATCTTCGCATGAGAACCAGGCAGAAACATTCTGAGAAACTAGTTTGTGATGTGTGCATTCATCTCACAGAGTTGAAATCATTTTTTGATTTGAGTAGTTTGGAAACACTCTTTTTGTGGAATCTCTAAGGGCATATTTGAAGCGTTTTGCACGCTGTTGTGGAAAAGGAAATATCTTCACATAAAAACTACACAGAAGCATTCTGAGAAACTACTTTGTGATGTGGGCATTCATGTCACGGTTTTGAACCTTCCATTTGATTGAGCAGTTTTGAAATACTCGTTTGGTAGAATGTACAAGTGAATATTTGGAGCACTTTGAGGCCTATGATAGAAACGGAAATATGTTTACATAAAAACTACACAGAAGCATGCTGAGAAACCGCTTTGTGATGTGTGTATTCACCTCCGGGAGTTCAACCTATCATTTGACAGAGCGGTTTTGAAACTCTTTTTGTAGAATCTCCAAGTGGATATTTGGAGCCCTTTGCATTCTACTGTGAAAAGGAAATATCTTCACATCAAAACTACACAGACGCATTCTGAGAAACTTCTTTGTGATGTTTGCTTTCAACTCACAGAATTGAACCTTTTGTTTGAGTAGTTTTGAAACTCTCTTTTTGTAGAATCTAGAAGTGGATATTTAGAACGCTTGGAGGCCTATGGTGCAAAAACGAATAACTTCACACAAAAAATACACAGAAGCATTCTGAGAAACTTCTTTACGATGTCTGCATTCACCTCACAGATTTGAATGTCTCTTTTGATTGAGCAGTTTGGAAGCACTCTTTCGGTAGAATCTGCAAGTGGATATGGAGAGAGCTTTGAGGCCTGTTGTGGAAAACTAAATGTCTTCATATAAAAGCTACACAGAAGCATTCTGAGGAAACTCCTTTGTTATGTGTGCATTCATCTCACAGAGTTGAACCTTTCTTTTGATTCGGCAGTTTTGAAACACGGTTTCTGTAGAATCTTCAAGTGGATATTTGGAGCACTTTTCTGCCTATTGTGTAAAAGGAAATATCTTTACGTAAGAACTACACAGAAGCATTCTGAGAAACTTCTTTGTGATGTTCTTAACTCACAGCGTTAAACTTACCTTTGGTAGAGCAGTTTTGAAACTCTCTTTTTGTGGAAAATGTAAGTGGGTATTTAGAGCCATTTGTGGCCTATGGTGGAAAGGAAAATATCTTCACATAAAAACTACACAGAAGCATTCTGAGAAACTACCTTTTGATGTGTGTATTTGTCTCAGACTGGAACCTTCCTTTTGATTGAGCAGTTCTGAAACACTCTTTTTGTAGAATCTGGAAGTGCATATTTGGAGTGCTTTGAGGCCTATGGTGGAAAAAGAAATATCTTCATTTAAAAACTACACAGAAGCATTCTGAGAAACTTCTTTGTGATGTGTGTATTCATACCACAGAGTCGAAACTATCGTTTGAGAGAGCATTTCGAAACTTTCTTTTTGTAGGATCTGCAAGTGGATATTTGGAGGGCTTTCAGGCCTATGGTGGAAAAGGAAATATCTTCACATAAACACTACTCAGAAAGCATTCTGAGAAACTTCTTCACGATGGTTGCACTAAACTCTCAGAGTTGAACTTATCTTTTGATAGAGCAGTTTTGAAACTCTGTGTTACTAGAATCTGCATGTGGTTATTTGGAGTCCTTTGTGGCCGATGGTGGAAAAGGAAATATCTTCCCCTAAAAAGTACACAGAAGCATTCTGAGAAACTTTTTTGACATGTGTGCACTAATCTCACAGAGTTTAATCTATCATTTGATTGAGCAGTTTTAAAAAACTTTTTTTGTGGAATCTGCAATTGGATATTTGGAACGCTTTGAGGCCTATTGTGGAAAAGGCAATATCTTCACATAAAAACTACACAGAAACATTCCGAGAAACTTCTCTGTGATGTGTGCACTCATCTCACGGAGTTGAACCTTTCTTTGATTGACAAGTTTTGAAAGACTATGTTTCTATAATGTGCAAGTGGATATTTGGAGTGCTTTGAGGCATATGGTGGAAAAGGAAATATATTCACATAAAACTATACAGAAGCGTTCCCAGAAACTTATTTGTGATGTGTTTATTCAACTCGCAGAGTTGACCCTATCTTTTGATACAGCAGTTTTGAAACTCTCTTTTTGTAGAATCTGCAAGTGGATATTTGCAGCGCTTTGAGGCCTGCGGTGGAAAAGGAAATATCTTCACATAAAAACTACACAGAAGCATTCTCAGTAACTTCTTTGTAATGTGTGCATTCACCTCACAGACTTGAAACTTCCTCTTGATTGAGCAGCTTGGAAACACACTTTTAGTGAAATCTGCAAGTGGATATTTGGAGCACCTGGAGGCCTGTTGTGGAAAAGGAAATATCTTCACATAAAAACTACACAGAAGCATTCCAATAAACTTGTTTGTGATATGTACCTTCAACTGACAGATTTGAACCTTTCTTTTGATTAAATAGTTTTGAAAATCTCTTTTTGTAGAATCTGCAAGTGGATATTTGGAGTGCTTTGAGGCCTATGGTGGAAAAGGAAATATCTTTACATAAAAACTACACAGAAGCATTCTGAGAAACTACTTTGTGATGTGTGCATTCATATCACATAGTTGAACCTATCTTTTGATAGAGCACTTTTGAAACTCTCTTTTTGTAGAATCTGCAAGTGGATATTTGGAGCCCTTTGCAGCCTATGGTGGAAAAGGAAACATCTTCACATAAAAACTACACAGAAGCATTCTCAGAAACTACTTTGTGATGTGTGCGTTCAGCTCACAGACTTGAAACTTCCTCTTGATTGAGCAGTTTGGAAACACTCTTTAGTAAAATCTGCAAGTGGATATTCGGAGCACTTTGAGGCCTGTTGTGGAGAAGGAAATATCTTCACATAAAAACTACACAGACGCATTCCGAGAAACTTGTTTGTGATATGTGCATTCAACTGACAGAGTTGAACCTTTCTTTTGATTGACTAGTTTTGAAAATCTCTTTTTGTAGAATCTGCAAGTGGATATTTGGAGTGCTTTGAGGCCTATGGTGGAAAAGGAAATATCTTCATATGAAAACTACACAGAAGCATTCTGAGAAAATTCTTTGTGATGTGTGCATTCAAACCACAGACTTGAACTGATCTTTTGATAGAGCAGTTTTTAAAGTGTCTTTCTGTAGAATCTGCAAGTGGTTACTTGGAGACCTTTGTGGAAGATGGTGGAAAAGGAAATGTCTTCCCGTAAAAACTACACAGATGCATTCTGAGAAACTTCTTTGTGATGTGTGCATTCATCTCACAGAGTTCAACCTATCTTTTCGTAGAGCAGTTTTGAAACTCTCTTTTCCTAGAATCTGTAAGTTGATATTTGGAGCCCTTTGCGGCCTATTGTGGAAAAGGAAATAACTTCACATGAAAACTACACAGAAGCTGAGAAACTTCTTTGTGATGTGTGCATTAATTTCCCAGCAGTCGAACCTTTCTTTTGATTGAGCAGTTTTGAAACACTCTTTTTGTAGAATCTGCAAGTGGACATTTGAAGCACTTTGAGGCCTATTGTTGAAAAGGAAACATCTTCATATAAAAACAACAAGGAAGCATTCTGAGAAACCATTTTGTGCTGTGTGCATTCACCTCACAGAGTTCAACTTTATTTGATACAGCAGTTTTGAAACACTCTTCTTGTGGAATCTGCAAGTGGAAATTGGGAAATATTTAGGCATATGGTGGAAAAGGAAACATCCGCACATAAAAACTACACAGACACATTCTGTGAAACTTCTTTGTGCTGTGTGCATTCAAACCACAGAGTTGAACCTATCTTTTGAATGAGCACTTTTGAAACTCTCTTTTCATAGTATCTGCAAGTGGATATTTGGAGCCTTTTGTGGCCTACGGTGGGAAAGGAAATATCTTCATATAAAAACTACACAGAAGCATTCTGAGAAACTTCTCAGTGATGTGAGCATTCTTCTCACAGAGTTGAACTATCTTTTGATTGAGCAGTTTTGAAACACTGTTTTTTTTAGAATCTGCAAGTGAATATTTGGAGCCTTTTGGGTCTTATTGTGGAAAAGGAAATATCTTCACATAAAAACTACACAGAAGCATTCTGAGAAACTTCTTTGTCATGTGTGGATTCATCTCACAGAGTTAAATCTTTCTTTTGATTGAGCAGTTTGCAAACACTCTTTTTGTGGTATCTCCAGGAGGATATTTGGAGTGCTTTGAGGCCTATGTTGGAAAAGGAAGTATCTTCCCTTAAAAGCTATGCAGAAGCATTCTGAGAAACTTCCTTCTGATGTGTGCATTCATCTCACCTAGTTGAACCTTTCTTTTGGTTGTGCACTTTTGAAACACTCTTTTTGTGGAATCTGCAAGTGGATATCTGGATCACTTTGACGTCTATTGTGGAAAAGGAAATATCTTCACATAAAAACTACACAGAAGAATTCCGACATAGTTCTTTGTGATGTGTGCATTCAACTCACATAGTTGAAACCATCTCTTGATCGAGTAGTTTTGAACCTCTCTTGTTGTAGAATCTGAAAGTGGATATTTGTGTCCCCTGGCGGTCTATGGTGGAAAAGAAATATCTTCACAAAAATACTACACAGAAGCATTCTGAGAAACTTCTTTGTGATGTGTCCATTCATCTCACAGAGTTGAACCTTTCTTTTGATTGAGCAGTTTTGAAATACTCCTTTTGTAGAATCTGCAAGTGGATATTTTGAGTGCTTTGAGAACTATTGTGGAAAAGGAATTATCTTCTCATAAAACCTACACTGAAGGATTCTGAGAAATTTCTTGTGATGTGTGCATTCATCTCACAGGAGTTGAACATTTCCTATGATTGAGCAGTTTGGAAATATTCTTTTCATAGAATCTGGAAGTGGATATTTGGAGCCCTTTGAGGCCTATTGTGGAAAAGGAAATATCTTCACATAAAAACTACAGAGAAGCATTCTGAGAAACTTCTTTGTGATGTGTGCATTCATCAAACAGAATTGAACATTTCTTTTTTTGTGCAGTTTTGAAACAATCTTCTTGTAGTATCTGCAAGTGGATATTTGGAGCGTTTTAAGACCTAAGGTGGGAAAGGAAATATCTTCACATAAAAATTACACAGAGAGATTCTGAGAAACTTCTTTGTGATGTGTGCATTCATCTCATATATTTGAACCTTTCTTTTCATTGTGCAGTTTCCAAGCAATCTTTTTCTAGAATATGTAAGTGGATATTTGGAGCACTTTGTGGACTATGGAGGGAAAAGAAATGTCTTCACATAAAAACTACACAGAAGCATTGGGAGAAAATTCTTGTGATATTTGTGTTCAACCCACAAAGTTGAACATATTGTTTGATAGAGCAGTTGTGAAACTCTCTTTTTGTAGAATCTGCAAGTGGGTATTTGGAGCCCTTTGTGGCCCATGGTAGAAAAGGAACTATCTTCACAGAAAAACTACCCAGAAGCATTTTGAGAAACTCCTTTGTGATTTGTGCACTCATCTCACGGTGTTGAAACTTTATTTTTATTGAGCAATTTTGAACATTCCTTTTTATAGAATCTACAAGTGGATATTTGGAGTGGTTTGAGACCTATGGTAGAAAAAGAACTATCTTCACCGAAAAACCACACAGAAGCATTTTGAGAAGCTTCTTTTTGATGTATGCATTCAACTCACAGAGACGAACTGATCTTTTGATAGAGCAGTTTTGAAACTCACTTTTGTAGAATCTGCAGGTGGATATTTGGAGTACATTGCGGCCTATGGTGAAAAAGGAACTATCTTCGCATGAGAACCAGGCAGAAACATTCTGAGAAACTAGTTTGTGATGTGTGCATTCATCTCACAGAGTTGAAATCATTTTTTGATTTGAGTAGTTTGGAAACACTCTTTTTGTGGAATCTCTAAGGGCATATTTGAAGCGTTTTGCACGCTGTTGTGGAAAAGGAAATATCTTCACATAAAAACTACACAGA